>NW_009646202.1:0-277797 GCF_000001405.40 Homo sapiens | reverse complement strand
GAATTCTCCCTGTGTCCCAGGTAACACAAAAGCGTCATTTGGACAGAGTGGCGGGTTTGGGAGCATTTCTCAGTCCTGGTGGGAGGATGGGGTTGGGGATGACGCTGCCGTGGTAGAGATGGGGGGTGGGACTGGGTCATGAAGGATCAGAGCCACTGGACCAAGAGTGTAGGCTGTACCGCGTGTGGGCAGGAGGCGGGATGGGCCTGTGTCTCAGACCTGTGTGGGCAGGAAGTGGGACGGGCCTGCGTCTCAGACCAGGGCTCTCCCATTAGACCCTGGTGCCCTTGTGCTGTGACCCCAGGGGTCCCTTCATGGGCCTGGAACCCAAGAACAGTTGGGCCCGGGGGCTCTGATCGTTCGGGAAAGCGGAAAATGCTCCAGCGAACAGGAGGAAGGGCACGAGGAGGATGTCTGGAGAGGTTGCCACACTCACGGCCGCCAGCACCTGAGGGTCCCTGGCCCTGGATGTTTTTTCCGCTGCCCCCACCTTTAGCTTGTGATCCCTCCTTGTTCTCATCATGAGAATATCATTTGGTCCCACCGACAAATCCGAGGACTCTGACATTAATAAACAACACTTGAAGGGCTTCTGAGCTGAGTTCTTAACAAGGAAGGCGCGTTGGGCATGGAGGCTGGGGTGGACATGGGGTGGGTCTGAGGAGAGTTAGTGGGAGTGAAACAGGAAAGGTTCCTTTGTCCCTCTCACAGGGCATGCGACGGGGGTGTGGCTCGCTTGTTCAGTACCCAGCTGCTCAGACCTCTAGAGGAGCATACAGACGGGCAGGCTGTGGGGCTCTGACCCCATGGCAGTGTCTAGGGGTGAATGTTTACAGCTGAAGCCCCAGTGGGTGTGTGTTACAGGGTGCTCTTTTAGTTTGCTGTCTATAGGCGGCTTGTGTTAACTGGCTCAATTAGACCTCCTTCCTTATCACAAGGACAGAGGGATTTCTGTATCCTGGGGTTTCTTGCCTTGGTGTAGGGGAAGAATCAGATCACATGTGGGCTTGGAGAAGAGTGCAAGGTTTTATTGAGTAGAAGTAGCTCTCAGCAGATGGGGGAGCCAGAAGGGAGACAGTTTTTCCCTGGAGTTGGGCCACTCAGCAGCCGACTCTTCTCCTCCAACCGCTCTGGCCAAACTCCGCATCATTCCGCTTGTCAATGGCCTGCAGGCCTGCCAGTGCCTGTCGGCGTGATCTTCTGCCGGCGCGCTTTTGACAACCAGCCGCTTGTGTCTTCTGCCTATGTGTTCCTCAGTACGTCCAGCCGGTTGTGTGTCTCAGGTTTTTATAGGCACAGGATTGGGGTGTGGCGGGCCAGGGTGGTCTTGGAAAATATAACATTTGGGTGCGAAGGCAGGAGTGCCTGTCCTCACCTGGGTCTGTGGAGGTGGAGCCCTGGCCAGGGACCTGCCTTTCTCTACCCAGCACTTCCTGGCCCTCCTCCGGTATCAGGATCTCACTTGGCTCTGAAGGATCTTCATGGGCAAAGGCAGATCTGCGCTGAGGGTGAGGAGAGAGCCAGTGGTCCTCTGCCATCAGACAAACTGGAGCCCTTACTGGGGACATTTCAGTCATGGCTGACACCTGGGTTGGGTGGGAACCTGGTCCTGTCTGCGGGTGGCACTCCCGTGGCTGTTGTTGACCCCACAGTAGATGAGGGGCTTAGGGGAGGCCCTGAGGCCAGGGGCTGGGCTGTGAGCATCTTCCAGCAGCCCCAGGGAGGCCCAGTTGAGTCCACCAGGGTGGGGGTGAGCAGCCTCCACCAAGCCTTCCCCAGACACTGCGGCCCCGAGGCCTGGCGGTGTTTCCTGTGCTATGTGTCTGGCACTGTTCCAAGAGCTTTCCTGACAAGCAGGAATCATTTATTCCTCAGAATTGCAGCAGCTTAATGAGGGATGGACAGCACAGCCCCATTTCAGATTGGACACGGAGACACAAATACTAAGTGTTCTGCCCAAGGTCATGCAGCCTAAACAGGGGCAGAGGCCAGAACCCAGCGTGCCTCAGAGTTTCGGGGTGTAGCCCCTTTGCTCTGGTGCCTCTCATTGGGGTAGAGGCCTGGTGGCATCTCACTCTCCTACTCCTCTCAACCCCTAAACTCCAACCAGGGCCCCTGTCTCAGGGAGGCCCGGCCTGGAAACAGCCACTCCAGGTTCCTGGGCCAGGAGTTAGCTGTTTGTCCTCTTCGGCCTGATTTCAGAGCAGATGGTGTTTTAATCTCCTCTTCTGGTGACCATTCACGTTTCTGGGCCTACCCGTTCCACAGTAACGAGGGGGTCAGATCTCCTAGCAGCCTGACACAGCGACCAGAGGCTGACTAGCTGGGGAGAGTCCTTTCTCCTACTCTCTTGCATGTCACGCAGGAGGCGATGGGTCCTGTCACCCACAGGACAATGCTCAGGCTCACATGAGTCCATCTCCTCCGCCACAGCTTCCCTACCAAGACCTCCGCCCCGGCCAAACTGCTCCACCCACTCTTTCCTATTCTCGGTTGGGAACACAACTCCCAGTACAGCTGGGAATTCCCCACCCACCCTCCAGGCCGCCTCCTTGTCTCTGCTCCCTGAAACCCTCTTTGAGCTCATGCGGATGTGCCAAGGGCTTACATTATCTCATTTAATTCAGCAACCAGTGAGGTGCAAGTTATCCCCATTTGACAGATGAGGAAGCCGAAGCCCAGGTAGTGAGATTCCAAGGCCCATAAGAGCTGCTTGCTGCAAATTTACATGACTGTGTGCTCCACTCTAGGGAGGGAAGCATACAGAATTGAGAGGCCCAGGCATGCCCTCAGGAGCTTATACTTTGTGACCAAGAATATAGTGAAGTATCTATTGTGGTGGGTTGGGATGTGGGGCTGTTGGGTTGAGTCCTATTTGCACCCTTTACTAGCTTGGTGTGTTGTTTCTTAACCTCCCTGACCCTCATTTTTTCATCTGTAAAGTGGAGGCAGTTATTCCCTATCTAGAACGTTTCTTTCTTTTCCTTCCTTCCTTCCTTCCTTCCTTCCTTCCTTCCTTCCTTCCTTCCTTCCTTCCTTCCTTCCTTCCTTTCTTCTTTCTTTCTTTTTTTTTTGACAAGGTCTCACTCTGTCACCCAGGCTGGAGTGCAGTGGCATGATCTTGGCTCACAGCAACCTCCACCTCCTGGGTTCAAGTGATTCTCATACCTCAGCCTCCCTAGTAGCTGGGATTACAGGCACACACCACCACGCCCAGCTCATTTTTTTTTTTTTGTATTTTTAGTAGAGACAGGGTTTCACCATGTTGGCCAGACTGGTCTCAAACTCCTCACCTCAAGGGATCCGCCTGCCTTGGCCTCCCACAATGCTGGGATTACAGGTGTGAACCACCGTGCCCAGCCACTATCTACAAGGTTTTGAGAGTAGATAATCACTGGGCACACAATAAAAGCAACACAATCATTTCCCTGGGTCCAGCCAAGGCCTTGATTTCTCTGCGAGCTTTTGTGGGTGGCAGATTTAAGAGGTGGCAGCCTTAGCCCCTCGCCTTCCCAAGGCCCAGAGCGTCCTCTGTGTAGCATCTGAGACAGGACCAGTGACGAATAAGTGGCCTGGACAGGAAGTGGTGGAGCGGCAGGACCATGGTGAGGGCTGCACCTGCGGAGTCTTGCCCTTCCCCGAACAAGGAAGGCTTGTTCTGAGGTGAGGCCCAGTGGGAAATGGTTCCTGTGAAACCGCCTGTGGTGTTTCCACACATCTTCAGAGGGAGTGAAGGCCCAGCTGCTTAGGATTCAGGAACCACAACGGGCCTGGTCAGACATCATGGTCTGGGTCTCCAGTGCCACAGCTCCCTCTCCCCTGGCCGCTCGAGAAAGTCCATCCCGGCCGGCTCCCTTGTCTGAGAAGGAAGCTGAGTGTGGCCTCCAGCCTCCTCAGGGCTTCCGGGAGGCCCTCCTCTGCCAAACCAAGATTGGGGAAATCAATTAGAAGTTCATAAATTACAACCCCAAGCGCTTTGAAACCATTTGAAGAGTTAATCAAACAAGTTCATGACATCAACACCATCAGAGAAGGAATATTAAATTACTTTTAAAATGAAGGCTCTTCTGTATTTTTTAATAAAAGGATTTTATATTAATTCACATAATTGCCTCCTGTTAACATACTTGCCAGAATCCAAAAGAAAAAAAAAAATCTGTTAAACTTGGAATATGTCTGATACATTAGGAATTAAATTATAGGCCACAAAAAATTCCTGAGTTTTTACGTCCAAGTTTTCTTTTTAAAAAAAATCCACTTACTTCATTCCCTAGTTGGGATCATTTTTGTATATCTAAAATGCGTAAAGACAAGCACTAACTTGTACTAAGTTAAAAATATGTACATATTTACATATGGACACTGCTGCCAAATTCCGCCCCTCCCCACGTACCCTAGCAGTAGGTATTACTCTCCTAATAGAGTAATTCACCCAACCACAATAACATTTTTACTCTCCCCCTTCTTTCCAAGCATATCCAAGCCCAACTTGGGTGGTGTCATGGAAGAAACGTGGTACACAGGCACTTAAACACAGACCAGCTTTCCCCATGAGCGCCATGCTTTAGAAACATGAAAATGCAATGGATCTACACACAGGCACAGATACAGAATGCCTTCGAAGGGAGAGGAGGATTTTTCATATTTAGAAGGTTCTCACTCTGTCATCCAGGCTGGAGTGCAGTGGCATGATCATAGCTCGCTGCAGCCTCAAACTCCTGGGCTCAAGCAATCCTCCCACCTCAGCCTCCCAAGTAGCTGGGACCACAGGTGCATGCACCTCCATGGTCAGCTATTTTTTTCTCTATCTTTTGTAGAAATGGGAGTCTCATCATGTTGCCCAGGCTGGTCTTGAACTGCTGGACTCAAGCAATCCTCCCGCCTCAGCCTCTTAAAGCTCTGGGATTACAGGCCTGAGCCACTGCACCCAGCCTTTACTGTATTTTAAAATGCTAAGGTGGTAACTTTTCTGTTATATGTATATAATTTTTAAAAATTTTCTTGCAGAAGGCTAGGTGCAGTGGCTCATGCCTATAATCCCAGCACTTTGGGAAGCTGATGGGGGTGGATCATTTGAGGTCAGGAGTTCAAGACCAGCCTAGCCAACATGGTGAAACCCCATCTCTACTAAAAATACAAAAATTAGCTGGGCGGGATGGTGAGCGCCTGTAATCCCAGCTACCCTGGAGGCTGAGGCAGGAGAATCGCTTGAATCTGGGAGGCGGAGGTTGCAGTGAGCCTGGATTGCACCATTTTACTCCAGCCTGGGCGACAGAGTGAGACTCTGTTTCAAAATAAAATAAAATAAAATAAAATATTTTCTTATAGAGACAGGGTCTCATAATGTTGCCCAGGCTAGTCTTGACCTCTAGGGAGAGGAGAATTTTTTAAATGTTTACACTATAAATTGTTCTACTCAGCTAAAAACCTCTAGAAGGCAGAGACCTCCCTGGCTTAGCTCAGCACACCCCTTTCCGATCCCCTCCCATGCTGGCCTGGCCCAGCCCAACCCTACACAGGGGCATACACGGTAAAGCTTTGGAGTCAGGGCCAGGCCTAACTTCTGAGGGGAAGTCAAGGAGGGAACGATGCCACTCCTCATTCCTTCTCGTGACCCGCCAGAGCACCCCCATGTCAGCTGAGTTAGACTAAGACCAAGCTAAGCAGAATCAATGATGCTGGCTCTGACACTGTAAGGGATGGGGTGGGGAGGGGGGCTGCCCTCTTCATCTGAAGTCAGAGGGGAAGGAAGATCCCCCCTACTCCGAGGTGGATTTACCCCAAGCTTCAGAACCCTGCACTTGCACCAGCCGCTTCCAAGGCCCTATACCTGTTTGGTTTTCTTTTACTTAAAGAAATTCAGGCCGGGTGCAGTGGCTCACGCCTGTAATCCCAGCACTCTGGAAGGCCGAGACAGGAGGATTGCTTGAGATCAGGAGTCCGAGACCAGCCTGGTCAACATGATGAAACCCCATCTCTACTAAAAATACAAAAATTAGCCAGGTGTGGTGGCACACACCTGTAGTCGTGTCTGCTTGGGAGAGGCTGAGGCAGGAGAATTGCTTGAACCCAAGAGGCAGAGGTTGCAGTGAGCTGAGATTGCACCACTGCACTCCAGCCTGAGCGACAGAGTAAGACTCTGTCTCAAAGAAAAAAAAAAAAAGAAAAAGAAAAAAAAGAAAAAAGAAATTGAATAAGCTTCAAGATCCACAAAACCTAGATTCCTCCTGCTTTCTCAGGAGGCACAGGCGGCTAGGATGACCTTCTGACACCACGGAGGCCTGACTGCTGCCATGGGCAGCCTCGGGGAGGACACAGAGCTGCCTTCGGGGGGCTCCCACTTGACAGGAGGCACTCGGTGCCACTGGAGAGATGTAAGGAGCAGGGTCAGACCTTGTCCTGAGGGCCACCTTCCTGCCTCGGCCCGGGGGTTTTGGGTGAGCTTCTACTCCGTGCAGAACACTTCTAAAATAGAACTTTCATGGAATTTTGTTTTTTTCCCTCCATATGCTCAAGTAAAACATGTCTAGCACAGAAAATTTAGAAAAGATGGTTACTTTAAAAAAAGAAAACAAAAATCACATATAATTTCGTCACCCTAAAACGAGCATGTAGCCAGTGTTAATATTTTGGGGAAATTTATTTTTGTACAAGAAGGGGATGGTTCTGTATCTGCTGCTTCACAAACTTCTGCTTTCTCTCTCTGCCAGCGCCAGCCTCTTTCCCTTTGATTTCTTGGAGTCACCGAGAACATGGCTGTTGTGTGTAACAATTCTGTTGAAGGGTTAGGGTCCCAATGAGAGGGCTGCCACAGCTATGGGGCACTGCCAAGTTGAAGGTTGGGAACCCCCGTTCTCAGTAATCTCGTGGCTATTCCTCCCCCAGAAACTCCTCACTTGGTGGTCTCTGGCCCCAGTTGGTCCTTTCCTCAGTCCTGCCGCAGGGCCCCCTCATACTCCTTCTAGAATGTTCTAGGAAACTCAAAAGTCTCTTGCTTTATTGTACAGAACAATTTAGTTCTCTTTGTTTCACTCCACCTCTTTCTGGGCCATGCCACAGAACTCATGTTTTTCCCATCAAAGGGACCCTCAAATAGGCCAAAGTGGCTCACACCCGTAATCTCAGTGCTTCAGGAGGCTGAAATGGGAGGATCACTTGAAGCCAGAAGTTGGAGACAGGCCTGGGCACCATAGCAAGACAATGTCTACAAAAATAAAATAATAAAATAAAATAAAATAAAATAAATGATAATAATAATAGTAAATTAGCTGGGTGTGGTGGCACATGCCTGCAGTCCTAGCTGCTCTAGAGGCTGAGGTGGGAGGATCCCTTGAACCTGGGAGATTGAGGCTGCAGCGAGCCATGATTGAACCACTGCACCACAGCCTGGGCAACTGAGTGAGGCCCTGTCTCTACGGAAAAAAAAAAAAATCCTTAAATTGTGCTTTCTGTTAAGCAAGAAGCCTGTATGTGGCTCTTCAAAATATTAAGATGGCTGGGCGCGGTGGCTCATGCCTGTAATCCCAGCACTTTGAGAGGCCAAGGTGGGTGGATCATTTGAGGTCAGAAGTTTGAGACCAGCCTGGCCAACATGGTGAAACCCTGTCTTTACTAAAAATACAAAATTTAGCCGGGTGGGGTGGCGGGTGCCTGTAGTGTCAGCTACTCCGGAGGCTGAGGCAGGAGAATCGCTTGAACCCGTGAGCTCCAGCCTGGGTGACAGAGCAAGACTCTGTCTCAAAAAAAAAAAGAAAAAAGATAAGCCTTCTTTCCTGACACATGCTCTCATTCCTAGGCATTGCTCCCTAGCCAATCTCTGCAGCCTCAAGGGTTCTACTTAGAGATTTTAATTTTCCCACTGAAATGAATTATGCATCTCTCCAGGCCGCTTCTCCCATCTGCCACCTTAGCAAGCAAAAGAGTTCAGCTTGAAATTTTTTTGTTTTTTTGTTTGTTTGTTTAAAAAGCATTTTGCCCCTCTAGCTTTAGCTCCATTTTTGTCAAAGAAGGCACTGGAGCTCAGGGAGGATGGAACATGTAGATCTGAGGGTCTTCAGTGATTGCTGGGGCCAGTGACAGTGCCAGGCCCCAGGAGCAAGTGAGATGGGGTAGAAATCGCAAAATAGAAGTCACAAGCAGCTTCCTGCCAAGACTGTTCTGCTTGGCCAGCACAGTTTAAAAATATACACATGGTTATTTATTATAAAATATCACTATTTATTAAAAGAATCCCAAATTAGGAAACAGAAGAAAAAGTCACCCATGGTATTGACATTTTGATGTATTTTTTTCCTAGTTAAAAAAAAAAACTATAAAAAGTTTTTTGCTTGTTTGGGTTTTTTTATGCATAAAGTAAAATAATGGTGTCAAATTACAGTTTCAAATTCAGATTAAAACCTTTCCTACTTGGGCAAAGGAAACCTTTAACTAAATGCAAGCCTTGCAATAGAAAATTCTGAAATAAGCCAGGTGCAGTGGCTCATGCTTGTAATCCCAGAATTTTGTGGGGCTGAGGCAGGAGGAACGCTTGAGCCCAGGAGTTCAAGACCCGTTTGGGCAACATGGTGAGAGCCCATCTCTACAAAAAACTTTTTTTGTTGTTGTTTTTTGTTTCTGAGACGGAGTCTCGCTCTGTCACTAGGCTGGAGTGCAGTGGCGCGATCTCGGTTCACTGCAACCTCTGCCTCCCAGGTTCAAGCAATTCTCCTGCCTCAGCCTCCCAAGTCACTGGGACTACAGGCATGCGCCACCACACCCAGCTAAATTTTGTATTTTTGGTAGAGACGGGGTTTCACCATGTTGGCCAGGATAGTCTCGATCTCTTGACTCTGTGATCCACCTGCCTTGGCCTCCCAAAGTGCTGGGATTACAGGCGTGAGCCACCGTGCCCGGCTACAAAAAAACTTTAAAAAAAAAATTAGCCAGGTGTGGTGGTGCAACCTGTGGTCTCAGCTACTTGGGAGGCTGAGGCAAGAGGATATTGAGCCCAGGAGTTTGAGGCTGCAGTGAGCTGTGCCACTGCACTCCAGCCTGGGTGACAAAGTGAGACGTTATCTCAAAAAAAAAAAAGTCTGAACTAGAGTCTGAGTTAATGAGGAGTCCCTGTGCTGATAGCTCTTCAAAGGCAAGGTCACTTTCATGGAAGGAAATGGCACTCCAGGCCTTAGTGGTCAAGTACTGCTCGGCCTCTTGCATCTTCTGTTATCATGGTAGCTTTGTTTTTTCTTTTCTCCTTACATTTTTATTTTTAATTGACAAATAATAATTGTATTTGTGGGATACGATGTGATGTTTTGATATATGTATACCGTGTCTTTCACCTTTAAATGTTTTTAAATTAGCTGTACCTTGGTTTAGTTTCCTTTAAAAGCACACTCTGAGACTAGAGTTTGGGTGCATGTTGTTTATTTGAGAGGTGCTCCCGGGAGCACGGTGTGGCATGCAGAGCACCCAAGAGGGAGGAGAACCAGTGAAGGATGTGTAAGCGAGCAGAGTCCCACTCTGGGCAACTGGAGCTCCAACACACGGGCCAGCCTCCAGGAGACTGTGCAGGACATATTTCAAAAGTGGTCCACTCAGGGTTGAGGAAGTGGGGATGTTTATCCACCAACTCCTGCCTCTAATTGGTGACAACTTCTGGGGGATGTTAACTCCACATACTGCAGGCCTGACCAGCACAAGGACTAGAAAATGCCCTCAAGCAGGAAAACAGGCATCTGAGGTAGGAAGGCTTTTATGTATATAAAGAACTGTCCACTTCTGCTGCAGTGACTTGAGCTGAGGAGGCACCTGTAGGCACCTGTAGTAGATGCTATCCTTGTAACAGGGCAAGAATAGCATCGATTACAGGGGCTTACATTTAAAAATCAATAGATTTCTCACAACAATCTATGAGGATCATAAAAATACCAGAAAATCTGGGCTTGCATTCCCACATGGGACAGCAAGCTGCTGCCCCCTTAATGGAGGCATATGCTCCCTGATGTGCCACACTCCCCACCACTCCCTAATGTCTCTTGCCTGAGGCCAACAGCCAGGTTTTTGTTTGTTTACTTTTTAACACCCAACCTACTTCCTTCCTCTATGTTATCTGCCTGGCCCCTCCCTGAAGGAGCCTGAGTTTGTCACCTTTTAAGGAGGAGACAGGCTGCCATTGCATGTAGGCCAAGTCGTCTCGGAGACAGCATTTGATTTCCTGGGACCAAATCTTTAAATATGAAGCTGTAACAGGAACCTGGGGGCCTCTCTTGACAGCCTGCCCAGCTCTCATTATGACATTTAGCCTGTGATTGATATTGTGTGTGTCATTGAGACCTTGGCAGTTAATCTCTGGGTCGAATCTATGGAAACCAAACAGAACAGATTTGTCTTCCCTTCCATGTTGGCTGTGATCTGGGAAACAGATGCTCCTGGCCTCTCTGAGAATTAGAGAGTTGGGAGCCATGCAGAGAGGGTGCACACAGGCCGCCTTCAGGATTTGGAAAGATTACAGGTCTGTGGTTTCTGGACGGTTCCACACTTTGTTCTCTTTCCCCATCAAATCTGCGTGCTGGAGGATAATAGATCCCAGGGCTCACTCTGCGTGCCAAGCTCCTCGGGGTAGACCGCACCACTTCCTCCTTTGTCTGGAAATCCAGCCGAGGCTTTCAGCACAGAGATGGAGACGGGGATGGTTCCCTCCACAGTGTAATGAAGGAAGAATGGCCTCACCAAGGGTGAGGTCAGCTTCAGTGATCAAAGGAGGCAGACGGAGGTTTCAGAACGGAATTGACTCTAGCGTCTCCCGAAAATCACCTCTTCTGAAGCTTCCATTAACCGCAGGCAGGGTTCAAGATGGCCTAAACCACCTTTAGGTGTATGGTGCCCAGCTTCTACTCACTTCGAACAAGAAGAGTGGGTGCCATGGACGAGCTGAGCTTCACACCTTTAGACACTGTGGGCCTGAAGCAAGGAGGGCTATAACTACGTATGCTCTTAGGGGACTGAAAGGTCTGGGCTCGTTTCTGTGAGAAAGATTTCTGGCCACTCCTTAAAATAATTTCTTCCTTCCTGACTGGAAACACAGCAGGCAGGCCCCAGAATAGAGTTTGGGCCTGAATGACCACCCGTGGGGGAGGGCAGCCCACCCTGCGCCTGCAGTCCCCTCACCTTCTCCCTCCTCCAAATCAGCCTGGAGGCTCAGTCCTGCCTTAGCAGCTCTTGCTGAGCCCCTTGCACAGGCCTCACAGCCCTTAATCATTCCTTCACCCCTCAGTCACTCATTCACTCATTCCATTCATTCACTAAGCCACTTCCTCATCCAACCCATATCTCCTGAGCACCTCTTACGTGCCAGACACCAAGGCTACAGAGAGAAGCCACACTCAGGAGCCCCGAAGCAAGGTCCTCTCTCCTCCCAGCCTGCAGCTGCATTCTGGGCCAAAGACCGGGCCTCCCACCCCACTGGGACAGCGGGAGGCATTTTGAATGAGCACCCTCACTACCTTTCCCTTGACTCCGCAGCACCCTGGCTCTCTAGCCACATCTCAGACAATTATTATCAAACTTTACTAAGCGTCAGACTCACTTCGGAGCTCATTGAGATACAGATGCCTGCGCCCCTACGAGGGTGCAGCCCGGATATCTGTATTTTTGGTTAGTGCCAGGTGACTCTGACAGACGTGGTCTTCAGACCACACTTTGAGAGACTTCACAGGAGGGTCCCCTTTGCTGCCTATTGCCCTCTCCACACTTCACCAGGAAGCAGGAAGTTGTTGGAGGAAGTCACAAACCCTGGCTTCCCACAATCCCTACAGACACTCATGGCTAGCTAGTGATCCTTTAAGTCATCTGCTATGGACTTGGGAGAATCCAATTCCCCAAAGCAGTGGTCTCAACCCTTTCCTTTTAAATTTCTATCATGGAGAATTTCAAACACACCTGAAGAGAAACAGCAACTGGCCAGGTGTGATGGCTCACACCTGTAATCCCAACACTTTGGGAAGCTGAGGTGGGAGGATCACTTGAGCTCAGGAGTTCGAGACCAGCTTGGCCAACATAGCGAGACCTCATCTCTATTTTAAAAAAGGAAAAAAGAGAAACAACAACTACCTTATAACCATCATCCAGCCCCAATCACCATCACTCATAGCCAGCCCATCTCATTCACACCTACATCAATACCTTGCCCCAACATTATATTATTTATATTTTCCAACTATATTATTTTTGAAGCAAATATTTCAGTATGTTTTTCTAAAAGATAAGGCCCTGTGGTATAACGTAACTGTCCTCGGAATCTCCAGCAAGTCGGCTGATAGATATAGACCTCTTTGGTGAGATGATTCCCGCCATGGTGGTGTGCTCTTCTATTCGAAGGCATATGATGTCTGACCATCTCTTCTTATTCATACGTGGCTGGCAGTTTATGCTCAGTCTCTGGATGCAGCAACTCATCAGGTGGTGTAAAATGGTGCTTCCTTCTTTATTCATTATCTGGAATACTTCTATAAAAGAACATTTCCCGTATCAACCCAGTAGTATATAGTTTGTAAAAGAGAGAAGCAATACATGCAGATTCTTCTCCTTTATCTATCCATCTTCAAAATAAGGAGCTGGTTCCCAAACATCTTCCAACCGTGCATAATAAGTTTTGGGTTTTTTTTTTTTTTTTTATAAGGTCTCACTGTGTTGCCCAGGAGAGCAGTGATATGATCTTGGCTCACTATAGCCTCAGCCTCCTGGGCTCCAGTGGTCCTCCCACCTCAGCCTCAGCCTCCTGAGTAGCTGGGACTACAGGCATGCACCACCACACCCAGCTAATTTTTGCATTTTTTTGTAGAGATGGGTTTTGTCATGTTGCTCAGGCTGGTCTTGAACTCCTGGGCTCATGCAATCTGCCCACCTCAGCCTCCCAGAGTGCTGGGATTACAGGCATAAGCCACTGCTCCCGGACTGTTTTCAGTATTATTATTATTATTTTGAGATGGAGTTTCACTCTTGTTGCCCAGGCTGGAGTGCAGTGGTGCGATCTCAGCTCACTGCAACCTCTGCCTCCTAGGTTCAAGCGATTCTCCTGCCTCAGCCTCCCAAGTAGCTGGGATTACAGGCACCCGCCACTACACCCGGCTAATTTTTTGTATTTTTAGTAGAGATGGGGTTTCGCCATGTTAGGCAGTCTGGTCTTGAACTCCTGACCTCAGGTGATCTGCCCGCCTCGGCCTCCCAAAGTGCTGGGATTACAGGCATGAGCCACCGCGCCTGGCCTTCAGTATTATTATGACCTAAGTGTTTGATGTGTTTTGATCCACTGGAATTATTTTTATTTTTCATGTTCAAATTGTTCCAGTTTTGATAAGTGGAAGCTTCTTCAAGTTGTATTCTGAGTCCCTTTGACATGTTCCTAATGGTCTTTGAAGCCATGAACCCTTTCCTACATTCTCTGCATCCCCGGCCTGCCCCTCCTCACACTGCACCTCCCATCTCCCTCCCCCTGACACTAAGACCCTGTGCTACAGACAGCCTCAATTCATGATCCTCCTTATCTGTAAAATGGGGCTAATGATAGGGTATTAGGATAACCCTATCTCAGTGTTGTTAAGATTAAATGGGCTTACAATCATCAAGCACTTGGAATAGTGTCTGGCACACAATAGGTGTTATATAAGTATTTGTCAAATAAATAAACAAATAGCATTCACCTCCATGGTTCTCAGTCTTCCCACCTTTTCCTCCTTCTCTCCAGTCTCCTTTCCCAGGCTGACCATAGGTGCATCATTTACTCAGCTCAGGAAACAATCAATGTCCAATTCCACTGCAAATTCCTCTCCTTGGGGACAATGGAAAGTCCTCTCCCACATTCCACTGGCAGAGCCTAACAAGCTCTCCAAATGCACATTTCAGTCTCGAGGCACAGCTTTCTATCTTGGGGCATCTCTTCCAATCCCCTTGGTAAGTTAACACAGTGATGGCCAGGCTCCCAGTGTGAGAGTGTGAGCATTGCCTTCAGCTCTTCTGACAGGTTAACCCTCATGCAGCCAGGTTTCCTCCCCTCTCAAGGCTTCTGAAGTCCTGCTGATGTGCGTGTGGCCCAGACCCAGGCCCGGGCAGGTATGGCCTTGGCGATGTACTCTTTCCACTGGCTGACGGCTCCCTGCAGACACTGAGAGGGCCACAGGCCTGGAATGTCAGGAATCTTCTGGGCCTTCCTATTTTGGGTCCCAAATGGCCCAAACCAGTAGGTTTCAGTCAGATAAAGGAAAAAGTAGGAACCAAAGGAGTAAAGTCTAAAGAAAGGTGGGAAGGAACTGGCTGCTTGCAGGATTTCTTAGCTCCAGAGCCCGCCTTGGCCCACGTCCAAGGACCCCAGCTCTCCTTCTCTAGAAAGATTGGAACATTGGGGAAGTGTCATTTAACTGCCATCATGGCCTTCCTTGTTTACCTGTGTGGCCTGGGAAGAGGAAGCCGGGGCATAGCAGGTTGGGGAAACTCTTTCCAAATTTTAAGATAAGCTTATTCCCACCTCTTTTTGTAAAGCCTATTCCCTGCCTCAGTGTCCCCTGCTAACCCCCATCCTGCTTCTCTCTCATAACCAGCTGCAGAAAGGAGAGAAAATCCCTTGGCTCTAAAATGACATCTGGAGAAGTGAAGACAAGCCTCAAGAATGCCTACTCATCTGCCAAGAGGCTGTCGCCGAAGATGGAGGAGGAAGGGGAGGAGGAGGACTACTGCACCCCTGGAGCCTTTGAGCTGGAGCGGCTCTTCTGGAAGGGCAGTCCCCAGTACACCCACGTCAACGAGGTCTGGCCCAAGCTCTACATTGGCGATGAGTAAGTGCCCAGGCCCAGGCTCGCTTGGGAGCAGGCAGCAGCCCCTCCCCAGGCCACGCCCTGCGCCACCTCCTAGCCATGGGCTTTGGAATTTGTAGTCGTTCTGTGAGAACTCAATTAGTTAGGGCTGGGCTTGCCTTCACATTACAGAAAACCTAAACAAAGTCTTAGGCAAGATAGAGGTTTATTTCTCTCTCACATATAAGTGCAGAGGGAGGTGGGCTGGGGCTGGCACGGCCACTGCAGGGTCATCAGGGACTCAGACTCCTGTGTTTCTGCGCCACTGTCCTGGGGACGTGGCTTCTTCCCTCCAGGTGCTGCAGGGTCCCAGATTGCCGCCAGGACCCCAGCCATCAACTCTAGGACCCAGACAGCAGGAGGGTGGAGGGAAAGAAAGAGCAGAAGGGCATCTTCCGAAAGCAAAGTCCCATCCCAGACTTCCCCTGCCCCTAGCTGCAAGGGAGCCTGGGAAATGTAGTCTTTTATTTTAGCTAGCTATAATACCCTCAAGAATAAAATCAGTTCTTAGGTGGATGGTGCAGGAACACATCAATATATGCCTGGAAGTATGGGAGCCTAAATTTAGGTCACTGTCACCTCCTTTAGATTTTTATAACCACCATTCCCCACTCCCTACACAACTGAGATGCACCTACTGTAAATAATATTAATAATGATAACGACTATCCTTTCTTGAACACTGTATGCCAGGCATTGTGCTAAGCATCCTGCATGCATGATCTCATTTTACTCTCCTGATAACCCAGTGATAGAGGCTAATTACTCCCATTATAAAGATAGGGAAACTGAGGCACAGAGCAGTTAAATAACTGGCCCAAGTCCCACAGCTCAGTCAGTGGCAGAGAGCTGGGATTAAAATGCAGCTCTGCCCAACCCAGAGGCTTGTTCTTAACTGCTCCTCCCTCCACTCTCCCGGACTCCAGCCATGTTCCATCTCACCAAGGAGCAGATGCAGATGCTGTAGGACCCCTCCATATATTATTGTATTTATTTTTTTTCTTTTTCTTTTTTTTTCGAGACAGTCTCACCCTGTCACCCACGTTGAAGTGCAGGTTGGAGTGGTGTGACCTCGGCTCACTGCAACCTCTGCCTCCTGGGTTCAAGCAATCCTCTGTCTCAGCTTCCCAAGTAGCTGGGATTACAGGCACCTGCCTCCACACCTGGCTAATTTTTTATTTTTAGTAGAAACAGGGTTTCACCATGTTGGCCAGGCTGGTCTCCAACTCCTGACCTCAGTTGATCTGCCCACATCAGCCTCCCAAAGTGCCGGGATTAAAGGTGTGAGCCACCGTGCCCGGCCTATATGTGATTTTAATACATATCTTGCTGCTTAATACCTGGAGATAATCGTCTAGCCATAGGAAGATCCAGGGTAAGCATCCCTTGCCTTTCGTCTTTCTTTTTTTAAATTGAAAAAGTTACAAATATGACATGCTTAATTATACTAGGTTAAATGAGGTAGAGGGTTATAAAGACAAACTGCATAATCTCCCTTTGTCTCCTCTTAATTCTACCCCTGACTAACCAGTGTTAAATTTACTTGCATACTTCTACTACCTTGTGTGGGCTATTGCCAACATAAGGAAACATATACACACATATAAAGGGTTTACTTTTTTTTTTTTTTGAGATGGAGTCTCCCTCTGTCACCCAGGCTGGAGTGCAGTGGCACCATCTTGACTCACTGCAACCTCCACCTCCTGGGTTCAAGCGATTCTCTTGCCTCAGCCTCCTGAGTAGCTGGGATTACAGGCATGCGCCACCACGCCCAGCTAATTTTTTTTTTTTTTTGAGATGTCCCTCAATGGCGCAATCTCGGCTCACTGCAACCTCCACCTCCTGGGTTCAAGTGATTCTCCTGTCTCAGCCTCCTGAGTAGCAAGAGTAACAGACACCTGCCACTATACCTGACTGATTTTTGTATTTTTAGTAGAGACAGGATTTCACTGTGTTGGCCAGGCTGGTCTCCAACTCCTGAACTCAGGTGATCCACCTGCCTCAGCCTCCCGAAGTGCTGGGATTAAAGGTGTGAGCCACTGCACCCAGGCCTATATATTTTTTAAGCAATTAAAAATGAATCATAGGCTGGGTGCTATGACTCACACCTGTAATCCCAATACTTTGGGAGGCTGAGGCAGGAGGATCGCTTGAGGGCAGGAGTTGGAGATTAGCCTGGACAAAATAGTGAGATCTTGTCTATACAAAAAAAACACAAAAAACAAAAAGCACCAGCATGGTGGTGCACACCTATAGTCCCAGCTACTGGGGAGGGAGGAAGATTGCTGGAGACCAGGAGAGTGATGCTGCAGTGAGCCAAGATTGTGCCACTGCACTTTAGCCTGAGGGATAGAGCAACAGTTTGTCTCCAAAACAAACAAAACCCCATACTATATATACATACTGTTGTATACTTTTATTAATCCATAGTTAGCTGTGCCACAATTTACCCACAATTTCTCAGTTGTGAACATTAGGGGAAGGAAGGAGAGGGGTGTACAGAAACTCTCTAAGGTTTTCTTCTTTGAATTTGGCTTTATTGAGAAATAATTCATAGACCATAAAGTTCACCCTTTTAAAGTATACAATTCAGAGCTTTTGTTATATTTACAGAGTTGTGCAAACATCACCACTCTCTAATTTCAGAATATTTTTGTCACCTCAAAAGGAAACCCTGAACCCACTAAACAGTCACTCCCCATTCCCTACCTGCCTCTCAGGCCCTGGCAACCACCAATCTACTTTCTGTTTTTATAGATTTACTGATTCCCAGACATTCTGTATAAATGGAATGTTATAATATGTTCCTGGCTTTCTTTTACTTTGTATAATGTTTTCCAGGTTCATCCAAATTGTACTTGTATCAGTATTTGATTCCTTTTTATTGCCAATCTCTGTGTGATATTTGCACGTTTCTGTAAGTCTAAAATTAGTTCAGAATAAAAAAGGCACACATATATTTTGACCCAAAATATCACTTTAAGAAATGTAATTTACAGAAATAAGAGTAGCAATAATGAGAAAATATGTGCAGCGATGCTTATTATAACACTGTTTGAAGTAGCAAAAAAAAAAAGGAGGGACTGACATCTCTAGTCTTTTAATAACAAAATATTAAATAAATGTAGTAAATATTTCCTATAATGAAAGTAATAGGCCGGGCATGATGGCTCACCCCTGTAACCCTGTAACTTTGGGAGGCCAAGGTGGGAGGATTGCTTGAGCCCAGGAGTTTGCAAGTAGCCTGAGCAATATAGCAAGACACCATCTCTACCAAAAATTTTTAAAAATTTTCTGGGCTTGGTGGCATGTACCTATAGTCCCAGCTACTTGGGGGGCTGAGGTGGGCGGATCACTTGAGTCCAGGAGGTCATGGCTACAGTGAGCTGTAATGGTGCCACTGCACTCTAGTCTGGGTGACAGAGTGAGACCCTGTCTCAAAAAAAAAAAGTAACATATGCTCATTGTGTAAATAGAGAAGTCTCGGTTTCCCTATTGGTAAGAGGCTAATAAGATAACCTTCCTCACAGGGCTGTATGGATTAAGTTGGGTAATGTGTGTAAAATAGTGCACTGCCTAGTACATAGGAAGTGCTCAGTAAAGTTTAGCTATGATAATAAAAAAATGATAAATGTAAGAAAGATTGCTTTCAATATCCCAAAGCAGTCACCAAAGGCCATTACTTCAAAGATACTCCTATTAATATTGTGGTATATTTCCTCCTAGACTTTCCGAATATTACTTTTGGTTTTGGAATTTGTTTTTATATAATTGTAACTATAATGATTATTCATTTTCTCTTATTTCTCACATAGCATCATTCATAAACATTTTCTTTTATTACTTCTTATATATTTAATTATAATAGACATGACAATATATCAGATGAACAGAAGAGCATTCATTTAACTACTTCCTTATTGTTGGGCATATCAGTTATTTTTATGTTTTCACTTTTATAAACAACACTGCAGTGGACATCTTTACACATAATGTTTTTTCTATATTTAGAATTATTTCCTTAGATCTGACCCTAGAAATGGTACAACTGAGGAAAGATTAAGATTTTAAGACTTAAACTGTCTCTGTATCTTTATCCATGCTGTTCCCTTTGTCTAAAATGTCTTTCCCTGCACCTCATGTCCAAGTCCAGATCCTATGCATTCTTCAAAGTCCATTCAAGTCACTTCTGCCATGAAGCTAGCTTCCTCCAATCCCCATAGTGAGAAGTAAGCTTTTTCTCTGTATATTATATACTGTATTTACCTTTCCTATGGCTTATAATAATAATAGTTAAGTTGTATTGAATTCTTAGGTGGTAGGTGTCATGCCTTGTGCTAGGCATCATTTAGACTCCTCAACAACCCTATAAAGGAGGAACCATTTTACAAATATTATTCCCATTTTACAAATGGACAAGTCACAGCTCAGAGAGTTCATTCATTCATTCAGTCAGCCAGTAACCCTTTACTGGACACCTTGCTTGGAGCTGCGGGGGAAAAAAAGAAGACACTGAAGCTCAGAGAAATCAAGTGACCAGCCCAAGTTCTCACCACCAGAAAGGGGTAAAATTTATACTCAAATCCAGATCAAAAAAAAAAAAACATGGTCAGTCAGGTAAAGAAGCTGTTTCAGAGTTGAGGAGGGGAGAGGGAGGAGATGGGTAGAAATGTAACAGGGAACAGAAACAGCGGTGAGTACTAGAGGGGAAGGAGCACGGGGTTTGAGTCTTGGCTCTGCCAATTACCAGTTGTGTGACCTTGGACAAATTATTTTACCTCTCTTCACCTTATGTGGCAACAATAATGGGACTTATCTCACTGGGTGAAGATTAAATGAAATCAAACAAATGCTAGAGTAGTATCTGGCAAGTAGTAAATGCTCAGTAAGTGCTTGGTGCTATTATGGATCTGAGAAAGATCACAGAAGACATGGATCTAGGCTCGACTTTTGAAGATGGGTAGGATTTCAAAGAAATTCCAGGCAGAGGAAGCAGGATGGGAATAGCTACAGAGGTGAGAAAAGCAGGGAGATTCATCTGGAATATAGGGGATGAATGTGGTACACTTTCAGAAGGTCCAAGATTAAGCCAAATTCTACTGCTGTGTGGTCAGTTTCGATTAGCTGTGCTAGTCTAATAGCTCACCCCAACATCTTGGTGGCCGGCCACAGCAATGATTCTTTCTCACTCACAATGCAGTCCATGGTGGGCCAGCTCTGCTGCGCTCCCGGCCACTTTACTCTAGGACCCAGGGTGATAGAGCAGCCCTGATTTGAGATCTTGCCAGCCTTGCAGCAGAGAGAAAAGAGAGACCTAGCAAACCATAAGCTGATTTAGAAGTGACACATGCCATTTTTGCCCACATTTCACTGGCAAAAGCAAGTCCACGCCAAAGCCTCATGTCAGTGGGGCAGGAAAGTATAACTAGCGCAGCCAGAGGGGCTGCAAACGTTCTAACAATAATGCCATCTGGCACAGCCTCCTGGTCAGGTGCATTGGCTTTGGGCAGGTTATTTTACCTTTTCCTCAACTTGAAGAATAGTTGGCCAGGCGTGGTGGCTCACGCCTGTAATCTCAACACTTTGGGAGGCCGAGGCAGGTGGCTCGCTTGAAGTCACAAGTTCGAGACCAGCCTGGCCAACATGGCAAAACCCCGCCTCTACTAAAAATACAAAAATTAGCCGGGGATGGCCGGGCGCGTTGGCTCACGCCTGTAATCCCAGCACTTTGGGAGGCCGAGGCAGGCGGATTACGAGGTCAGGAGATTGAGACCATCCTGGCTAACACGGTGAAATGCTGTCTCCACTAAAAATACAAAAAAATTAGCCTGGCATGGTGGCGGGCTCCTGTAATCCCAGCTACTCGGGAGGCCGAGGTAGGAGAATGGCGTGAACCCGGGAGGCGGAGGTTGCAGTGAGCCGAGATCGCGCCACTGCACTCCAGCCTGGTGACAAAGCGAAACTCCGTCTCAAGAAAAAAAAAAAAAAAAAAAAAAGTAGACAAATGCAAATATTATAGTTAACAAAAAAGAAATCTGGAAAGGTAGGTCAGGGCCAGCTCATGGAAGGGTGAATGACGGCCAAGGGACTTTATTCAGAAAACCATTGAGTGTCTGAGCAGAACTGACGTGTTCTAGTTAATCGAGTGCTAGACAATAAAATATGCTTGCCTCCTTGATGTTTGACCTTGAACTTGCTTCTTTCAACCAAGAAAATGGAAAATGTCACTGCCCTTTTAATTCAATCCAACTGTGCCTAATCGAGCCCCAATACAAGCACACACAGGTGTGTGAGACTTTACACCCCCAGCTGAGGGAGGGAGCCTCAAGTCAGCATGGTGTGTGCTTGTCCCTGATTTCTGTGACACTCACTTAACAAGGTTAATGAGACTCACAGACGCTTATTGCAAGAGCAATTAACTCTACCGCCAATGCAGCCATGCAAAGGTTATAAGCTGGGCTGTGAACAGGCAAGGCTGCCTGTGTTTCTTGGTCTCTTTGCAGGGGTTGCCCAAAGCAGCCAAAAGCTCCAAGCTGGTTCCTCATGCACAAAGCCTCAGTTTTAATTTGATATTTACATTTCGGTTAGGTTTTTCCTTTCCCTAAAAGCACCTAAGATTTTTGAAAGCCCAGTACCAAGGCTCTGGAAGTGAAGGAGGTCAGGACCCAGGAGTAAGGATGGATGTCCTGGGATGGCCAAAGCTACTATCTATCCTTGGAGCCCAGGCCAGTGACTGTGGGGCCTGCAGCGGGGCATACTTACCTCTAAGATGAAGCTCACTCTTTTCCTTGCTCCTTTTTGTGGAGATAGGTGGAGCGGCCAAGCATCTGCTCTGGGTCCACAGTGTCTGGACTGAACACTGGTTTCTGTGTGGCCTTGGGCAAGTCACTCAGGCTTTGTGACTTTCAGCTTCTTCGCCTATGTGGATTCTATGCGTTAATGCAAGCAAAACATGTCTCACGGTGCCCAGTACATTCATCAAGTTTGAACTATGACAAATCAGGCAGGTTCTGGAAATTCGATTCACAGTGTATGAGGAAGGTAAAGCACAGTCACTGTGCCTTGCCACCCAGGGTCCCCCATGCTAGGGGAAGCCTTGGGAGAGAAAACAACCCTGGGTCAGATTTCTCCCATGAGAATTCTATCATGACCCAGGGCAGAGTGTTGGAAGGAGGGCCTGCTCTCCTAGGCCTTCCAGGGAGGTGACCTAAGGCCTAAGAAGGCAGCCATATCAAAGTTCCTTGGGCCTGCGGGTTTCAAAATCGCTAAAGCATTTTCTCCATCCCAGGTTAGCTCAAGGGGATTCACCAAGTGGGCTGCCTGGTAATTCCAAGTCCTCACTGCTCAGCAGCCCAGGGAAGGGGAAAGGTGGCCCTGCCAGTGCAGCCTGATGAGAAAAGGCCACAAACAGGAGGGCAACGTGGAGGGTGCTCACTCTGCCGGCTCAGCAGAGGGGTCGAAGGGGTGGGGCCTGGCTGGCCACCTTGCAGATATTCCTGGGGTTCGGGGGAAGTCTTCTTCACACAAGGTGTAGCCACCCACTCCCCACTCATTCCTCTAACTCGATAGGGGTCTGAATCTGCCACAAGTGGAACTGCAGGCTCAGCGTGGAGCGGAGGGCTCAGGCATGACTCGGCACAGCGTCCCAGTCCCCACTGTGTGTGGGTGGCCACCAACTATGGGTGGCCTTTGGCAAAGCATTTTATTGTTCTGGGACTCAGTTTCTTTATTTGTAAAATAAAGGATGATTTCGAAGGTTCCCTTCCAGCTCTAAAATAAAATTATTTAAGAAATGGCCTATTAAATGAATTAGGCTTTATTAGTTTCAAGCACACACTTGTTTTATTACTTTTAAGTCATTCAAATTAGATTCAAATTAGGTTAACCAAGTGTTGTCCTCCAGAGAGCCAGGGACTGGCGTCAATGATGAGATAAGAATAATTCATCACCTCTTATCAATCAGCAGTCCCTAAATGGGTGCTTCAAAAATGCTTGAGTACGCTCGAAAGCACTAAGTTTCTGTAATTTAAATATTCTCACTTTAATCTCGTTCACATCTTTCATTTGCTTAGCAAAATCTTTTTTCAGTCCTTTTTTTCCCTATAGTCAGCAGGAGGGGAAATATCCTGGCTACCATCAAAGTGATTGCAAATTCCTAGGCAGGGCAGCCTCCAGTGATAAGGCTTGGCTGAAACGGGATAATTGAGAAATCTCTCTTCCCTCTCCACAATGCGGGTGTCGGAGAGCCAGTGCCAGGGTGAGGTTAAACTTCTGCTGCTCATGGAATGGTGCGGGCCCTCAGGAGCTCCTTATTTTTGTGTAAACTACAGTTGCCTCCAAGGTCCGGCATTTGGGCTCAGATTCCTGCCAAGGCCTGCAGCCTGCCCCACCCACCCAGCCCAAGCTGGCTTTCCAGGGAACCTCTGTCTTGTCCTTTCTGCTTTTCTGCTTCTGACCAGACCCACAGCCTCAGAAGCCAGAGGCATCGCCACAGCTGGCCTGGCGTTGAGAGCCTGGGAAGTGAAGTGAAGGCAAGTCAGTCAGCTGAGACAGCTCCTTCTCCCCGAAAAGGAGGAACTAATTCCGCCTTAAGGCACCGAGCACGAATGAAATTAACCTGCTTCTTCGAGGTGTGGGTGGTGTGGCCAGTTTAGGATGCAGCAAAAAACAGTCAAGGTTGCGAATTTAACATGCTGGGCGTTACCTGAAATAACTAGGACTTCCAACTACTGAAGGCAACTGAGGCATAGCTGGGCAGCAGTCACAGGCAAGACGGTCGGGGAGAGAAGCCTGAGGCCCTGGCCTGGCCTGGCCTTCTCATTGCCAGAACACGGCTTAGCAGTCAAGGCCTCAAGCAACATAAACCATCTCCTTGCATGGTTAGGCAAATGCCGAGTCCAATCACTCACACGACATCATTTCTCAAAACCAGACCTCCTGGGTACTCTCTTCTCTTCACCTCCATCCTTGGAGGAATAGAGTTTGGGAGAGTGGGGCAGACAGGAGATTTCCAGTAGAAGTTAAAAACCCCGAGGCCACCTTATGCCTTTACAATGGTCTCTCCTGAAAACTAAGGAAATAACAATACAAATCATGCTATATTTACATAGTAAATGAATATATGACTCGTTCATTACTGAAAATGTACAAAATGTAGAAAGACAAAAACAAGAAAATTTAAACTACATATAATCCCATTACCACATTTTGTCATGGGATAAGCACATTCTGACATAAATCTTTCCACTGCCTTTTCCCCTTGGAGTCATCTTTTAACCTCTCAAAGAAGCTTCAGTATTGCATCATTCAACTTCACAAGACTCTCACAAGGAAAGTACTGCCAGTGTAATCGGTACTATTTAGCAAACAAAGAAAACGGAGGCTCCCAGCAGTTCTGCCACCTCAGTTCATGCGTCAGTTTCAGCTGTCAGCCCTATGTTTTCTCAGGTGCCTCAACACGGAGGAGCTTCACCCTCAAGTAACAAGAACACCCAAGACACCGGAAGGCCGGTTCATTTCACTTTCCCATCAGGTGAACTAACCGAGATCAGATGCCAGAAATGTGCCCACTGTTTTAAAGTCCACTTGCAAGGAACGGGCACACTCAAGACTGCACGGTTAAGACTCCACTGGGTTTGGGAGGTGGAGGCAGGTGGATTACCTGAAGTCAGGAATTTGAGACCAGCCTGGCCAACATGGTGAAACCCTGTCTCTACTAAAAATACAAAAATTAGCCACGCATGGTGGCACACACGTGTAATCTCAGCTACTCGGGAGGCTGAGGCAGGAGAATTGCTTGAACCTGGGAGGTGGAGGTTGCAGTGAGCAGTGAGCCGAGATTGCGCCACTGCACTCCAGCCTGGGCGACAGAGCGAGACTCTGTCTCAAAAAAAAAAAAGAAAAAAAAAGTAAACTACATGATTCCAGTGAACTGGGAAGAGTAAAAAAAAGGTTACAAAAAAAAAAAGTAAACTGCATGAGTCCAACAAATGTGTAAACAATGTCCATCACTGCTAAAATGAATCAGTGAAAACAAGACACCATTAATTTTTTTTGTCTATGAAATTGACAAAGAATACGGACTGCAATTTTTAGCAATTTTAGCAAGTTTTCTGTAGGGTAATTTAGTAACAAGTATCAAATGTATTTTAAAATGGCCATATCTGTTGACCCAGCAATTTCACCTTTAAAAATGTCTCCTACGGACATAAACAGAGGAGTGCCCAAAGAAACACATCAAAATGTTTGGTAAGAAAAAATTGGGACATACCTATATAATGAAATAGCATGCAGTTATTGAAGTCTTATATGTTGCCACAGGAAGATGTTTACAATATATCACGTCAAAGGTTTTGAAACTTTATATATATAGTATTGTACCAAAAAAAAACCTTTCTATAAAATATACAAATCTATGCATAGAGAAACAATGGGAGGTTCTTACATCAAAAGCTAACAATAGCCTTTATCTCCAGGGGAGTAGAAATACAGGTGATTTTTTTGGAGGGGGGAGTATGTTTTCTACATTCTACATTGAGCATGTGTTATTTTTGTCATGAGACGACATATTATTTAAAAATTGAACAGACTGATCACATCTAGGATTGTGCCTAACCAGAAACTAAAGCTCCTGTGTCATCTAGATTCTGGAAGTACATTCTTAAATCTGTTTTTCTTTCTGAAGTCTTTTCTCCCTCAGCAGAGGCATTTATGTGGACCCAGGAGTGGGGCACACGGCCTTTTCTCCATGCCCATCACCTCAAAATGCCCCTGTGTTTCTTAGTCTCTTTTTAACATATGTGAGCAGATAATGTATGTGGCCCTGAAATTTAAAAACAAAACCAAAGCAATCTAGTGTCAGACACCACCCTCTGAGCCTGCCCCACTCCCAATAATTGCTGAGCTGGGCATCTGTCCCATCTGGGGACTGGACGATGGGTGTCTGTGATGATGGCTCTGCCTCCCCCACAACATCTGTGTAAGAGGCACTCCATTTATTTGCAGATTCCCATTCTGCTGTGGATGCTCTTTCAAGCCCTCAACTGAACTCTGAGTGAATGAAGCTGGGGGAAGTCCCCAGAGTGATGTGTGAGGATACCAACTCCCCTTCCCGTCCAGGGAGCCAAGACCCTGAAAACTTGTGGTGGGCCTCAAATACCCACCGGGTCTCAGGGTCCTCACGAGCCCCTTTCTCTGCCTCAGGCACAACCAACGTCAGCCTGGTGTGGTGGATATGGAGGTGTCAGGCAATGAGTCTTGTTGCATATCTATCCCGCTCCCCAAAAGTGGCAAAGTGCAAACTGTTATTCATTCAAACTGCCACTTGATTATGTTGAAAGCCAGTTACTGAACCCAGAGAGAACAGTCTTCATGGTGGGTAGGAGCTTCCTGTCAAGAAGAGTTAATTTTAATTTTTCCACTGAGCTCAACCTCAAAGTGAGGTTGATTGCTACTCAGCAAGATGGACTGCATTAGCGGCGGCTTTAATTGGGCGCAGATCTACGTCCCCAAAGCATAATGTTTGTTGTACACATACTTTGGGGCAAGACGAAAAATGAAAAGCAGACCTTTCTAAGGAAAAATGGAAAGCACAATGTGTCCCACAGTCAGAATGGCCACACTAAGAGCCAAGTGGAGGGGGGCTCAGTGGGACTCCCCACCTCCCCATGCCACAGTTCTGATGGGCTGTCTGCAAATGTTTCCAAATGCTCAATTCCCTTCCCAAACACTGGACACCATCATGGTTCTCATGCCAAATAAAAAGCTCCAGGAAACCAATGAAAGACAAGCGCACCCTTGGCCGAGGGGCCATGGCATATATTTCTGGTGTGAGGCTTCCTCCTGGCTCAGGGTGTTGGTCCCTGCTAGCATCTAACATGGTCACTTCTGTCCACATGCTTTTACCAGTGGCCTTGAGATGAGCCCTCAGCTGGAGTGCAATGCCACTTTTACCCTCTTACTGGTACGGCTCCAGACCCTTGTCACATCTTCCCTGAGCTGAAGTCCTGGTCTTCATGCTATTGAGGGAAGTGTCTTCTTAAACCCAGATTGTATCACTTCTCTTTAAACACTCTCTAGAGCTCTCTTTGACTCCCAAACACAGATCCTAGCATCCAGGATCCCCACACATCAGCCAGATTGATTTTTCTTTTTCTTTCTTTCTTTTTTCTTTTCTTTTTTTTTTAAAGACAGAGTCTCTGCTGCTCAGACTGAGTGCAGTGGTGCAATCACAGCTCACTGCAGCCTCAACCTCCCTGAGCTCAGGTGATCCTCCCACTTCAGCCTCCCCAGTAGCTGGGACTACAGGCACATGCCAGCATGCCCGGCTAATTTTTTTCCCTTATATCTTGTAGAGATGGGGTTTCATGATGTTGCCCAGGCTGGTCTTGAACTCCTGGTCTCAGGCCACCCTCCCGCTTTGGCCTCCCCAAAGTGCTAGGATTACAGGTGTGAGCCACCTTGTCTGGCCAGATTGATCTTTAAAAAAGTAAACAATGCTTACTTCTTTCTTAAAATCCTCTAGCAGACTTCCACCACACTTGCAATAATACTCCTTCCTATGGCGGGCAGGGCCCACCATGCTCCAGCCCCTCTACCTTTCCAAACTCCTATTCCCCTTGCCACTTCAGCCACACTGGCTTCCTTTCTGTTCTCAGCAGTTGTTCCCTCTGCCTGGATGAAACGCTTTCTCTCCAACTCTTCCTCAGCCTTCTCATCCCTCAGTCTTGGCTTAAACACCACCTCCCCACAGTGGCCTTTCCTGACCGCCTTGCCTGAAGCAGGACCACAGTCATTTTGTATCATGTCATGAAGTTTTAGGTCCTTCGGATAGCTCTCACTGCTATCTAAAATTATCTTTGTTTATTTCCTACCCCCATTAGTATCTGACCTTCCTGAGGGAACTTCACTAACCTGTTCTTTTGTTTTTTGAGACAGTTTCACTCTGTCACCCAGGCTGGAGTGCAGTGGCGTGGTCTCAGCTCACGACAACCTCCACTTCCTGGGTTCAAGCGATTCTTGTGCCTCAGCCTCCCAAGTAGCTGGGACTGCAGGCATGCGCCATCACACCTGGCTGTTTTTTGTTTTTTCTTTTTGTATTATTAGTAGAGACAGGGTTTCGCCACGTTGACCAGGCTGGTCTCGAACTCCTGACCTCATGTGATTTGCCTGCCTCGGCTTCCGAAAGTGCTGGGATTATAGGCGTGAGCCATTGTGCTCGGCCCCTGTTCATTTCTTTACCATCAGCACCCAGCACAGTGCCTGGCACATAATAGATTGCAAATAATTATTTGGGGATGGATAATTGATTACAGGAAATAGACAATGCTTCCTGAAAGGCCTTCGTTGTCTCCAGCCTCCATACCTCAGGTGGTGCTGTTTCCTTGGCTTGGCCCGCGCTTGCCTCCTTCTTCCCCTCCATCACCAAATGTTGACACTTGTAGTGACACAGGCCTCTCCCTGCCCCACCCCACAGGCAGGAAGAACCCGTGTTTCCTCTGGCAGCCCATCTCCACTCCGGCCCCACCATGCTGCCTTCTCATCGAGTCATATTTCAGAGCCACCTACTTCAAGAGGACTTTACTGTTCCTGGAAATTCTTGCCTAGAAAGATAAAGCTGTAGCCCATTAAATAACTTCACTGCTGGCTTCAAGAACTTCCCTGCAATCAATTCAAACAACAGATGGCTCAAAAAGCCCTCCTTCTCAGAACAATGCTCTGCCCAGCTGGGCAACAGCTCCCCAAAGCAACACTTTCCCGTTCACATCGTGCCAACGTGAATTTGTGAACTTTGCCCAATCCCAATCCAATCCTCTTATGGAAGGCCTTGCTTTAAACCATTCAGTTGAGCGTCCATCTCCAAACCCTAAAAACATCCAGCAGGTTCAGAGCAGAGGTTGGGAGAAGGCAGCCCTGATGAACAGGTTATTCTGGAGGGCTTTCAGGCGATTTGGCAGGTCCAGATCTGCGACCACCGTAGAGGCCAGCACCAGGTTCCGCTGTGTATACTGAATGATGAAAGAACTAATGGACGAACGAATAGCTCAGCTTGCCTACCCCAGCCTCCACCCTGTCCTTTCTTGAGACAGCCGAGCCAGAATCACAAAACAGTGCAGGTGGCCTAGGGGACCGGGTAAGAGCAGAGCTTTGGGACTTCATTTGCAATAACTAGTCCTCATTCTGGAACTGGAATCCACAGCGGAAAGCGTGGGTGGCCCCTGAGTTTCCCGGACCCGGGGCAGGGCGCCGCGCGCCCACAGATTTCTCTCCCCTGCGCCCAGGGCGACGGCGCTGGACCGCTATAGGCTGCAGAAGGCGGGGTTCACGCACGTGCTGAACGCGGCCCACGGCCGCTGGAACGTGGACACTGGGCCCGACTACTACCGCGACATGGACATCCAGTACCACGGCGTGGAGGCCGACGACCTGCCCACCTTCGACCTCAGTGTCTTCTTCTACCCGGCGGCAGCCTTCATCGACAGAGCGCTAAGCGACGACCACAGTAAGAGACCCGCGGCCCCGCCCCGATCGGCCCCGCCCCGCCCCGCCCCGACTCGCCCCGCCCGTAGCTTAGGCCCCGCCCCTTCCCCGCCCCACTAAGGCTCCGCCCCTAGCCTAGGCTCCGCCCTTAGCCCAAGGTTTCCCCGTCTGAGGCCCAGGCCGGAAGCGGGATGTGCGCGTGCGAAATCTTTGTCGCAAAGCTGGGCCACTGGGGCTGCTTGTGGCCGAGGGTAAAGGTCCGAGCCCCTGGAAGCTGTGAAGGTTTAAGGACCTGCACCACCCAGCGTGCTGCTGGTGGGGTTCGGGCCTTGATTGCAGCTCTGGGGAATGGAAATAGGGCGTAAGAATAAAAGGCCTTTTGGTCGGAGTCTTTGCTAAAGAACATTTGCCATCCTTCAAAAGGCGGAGGCGGTCTGGGAGCTCTCAAAGCTGGGACTGCGGCCGGAGACACTAATTGTGCCTGGGCCTGAACCCAACTAGTAGCCAAGGGCTTTGATGCCAGAAAACCCTCAGGGAGCTGACTTGAGTGGGAATCCATGGAGAGACCTTAAATTCTCCTGCCCACCAACCAAGTTACACTCCCCAGTTACACTCAGCCTCGTGAGGCCTCCAGTAGAAAGCTGACAAGCTGGGCTTTACTGGCACGCTGTATTTGAGGTATAATTTGGGTTTTGCACCCCCAGCGTCCAAGTTTTCCCAGTGTTAATTATCCAGCTTTTAAATCACAGTGCTAGTCTTTGTGCTCAGAATGCACTGTTGGCTACCCTAATCCAGCAAAGGCTACAAGGCTATTTTGGAGAGAAGGGCACAGCTTAGGGACGCATCGGGGGTAAGACAATATACAGTTATTGCTGCAGGGTGTACTTCAGTGGAATTCCACAGAGGCCAGAGGGACTTCAGCTCCCTAATCTGTGCTCTGACTTCAGCCCAATGTGTCACACACCCCTTTGTGGAGCCATCACATAATTCAGGGTATCTGGTTACTGAAAGCCTTTCTTGCCACAAGAGGTTGTGATTACAAGGCTCAGTGACTGACCAAATAGTCTGCTGCAGGAACTTGCAACCTGGGGCTGGGCCTAGGCCAGGTCTGCTGGACAATATCAGACCTTAATGGACATCCCAAGGTGGCCCTGGCCCCACAGCCAACCATAGCCACCAACAATTTGTCATTATTTTGGCTCAGAAAGCAATGTCACAATGAAAAAAAACCCTTAGAGCTAACATGCCTGTATTAGAAGATGCCTCATTTCCAGGCCTTCCTTTTATGAGTCTATTTATGAACCATCTTTTGTGCTGTGTACATTCTGGGTTTCCAAGCAGGATCAAAAACACAACTGAACTGAGTCATCACCACAAGGTAAAATTTGCCTCATAGTATTTGAAGTTAACTGAAAACACATTTGACATGAAAAAAACAAAGACTGCAACAACCTAATCCTTCAGTTTCTGTTTAATGCACTCACTTGCCATTACTATATTTTAGACCTTACCCTTCATGGAAGGGGCCTGGCAGGCTTCGGAGAAGACAGGGCTGGGTTTACATTTCTGTCACACAATTTACTAACGATGTGATTTCTCTGAGCCTTGGTTTCTCCATCCGGTGATAAAAATATTTACCTTCAGAGGTTATAATGAGGATCAGCAGTAACGCGCGTAAAGCGCTTAGCATAGAACCTGGTGGACAGCAGGCTCTCGGATGTATTTGATAAAGCGTGGTCATACACTGTGAAGCATATAACCACGCCAGCATGTGCACATCATCATCGTAAAGTTTCCAATCCTCAAAGAAAAAAAAAAGACATTCCAACTTTGAACTGTAAGATATACTCACATGAAAGCTTGTTGTAGGTTCCTGGCACTCAATTTTAGGGTCTGCCCCCACTGCCAAATCCAGAAAGAATCAGGCTCTCAAGTTGAAGCTTAGGCCTAGGCAGATGACAGAACATTATGAGGAGGTGTCAGGCTGCTGTGGATCATGACTGTTAGACCAGGTGGCACCTAGCAAACAAAGGGCCAACGGAGGAGAGTAGATACTTGGATCAGAGACTATGAGTGGGATAGAATGAATGGATGGGGGTGCCGGGACTCGACCAGATGGCTAGGGATGGGGAGCAGGACATGACCCCACTGGAGATGGCAGGGTAGGCTCTGCTCTCAGCACCTTTGCACTGGCATATCTAAATAATTCAAGTCAGGGCTCAAACGCCTACCCTGCAGAACCATGCAGAGTGTAAACAAATGAAGATGGCTGCATGTACAGCGGAGGGGTGTGGGTAGGGGGCACTTGTGGCTAAGCAGAGAGCCCTGTACCCCTTCAGAGGGGCACCTGCCACCCAGCCTCAGCTAATGCTTGTCTTGTGAGAGTCAGTGCAAATGTGGGAGATCTGACTTTTCAGAAGTCTCCAATCTGGATTATAAAATCACTCGATTTTTAGGTCTTGGCAACAGATTGAAATTTCTTAAAATGCTGCAAAGGACAGACTAAAGCAACCCAATGGCCATCAGGTTGTAACCTGTGCCCTGAGTGGCCAGAGCAACCAAACAAAATGCCCGCTAGCTCAGCAGCAGCAATGCCACAGACTTCATACCCAGTGGACGGCAGGTGCTCAGCCCACCTGCCACATGCAGTTGTGTCTAGGCAAGGGACACTGCTTGGCATTTTAGTGCTGGACCTACTTGTATGTTTCTTACACTCTCTATGTAAGTGGTGTGGATAGACAGTCTGGCCAAAAAGCAAGGCATCACTCCTTGCTTCCTCTTGTCTATGTTCTTTGTTCTCATTGACTGGTTTCAGCCAAGTGTACACCATTCCCCCTACCTGGCTTCTCACAGCCGGTCATTTTCACTCTTTTTGAAAAGCGTTCCTTGTGGAGCTGTACTCGTGGGCTGTAATCAGCCCCTGGGGCCCTCTCCCATCCCATCACTACCCTGACTTGACCCTTTATAAAGAACTCCCCAGGCAACCTCAGTCACTCTTAAAATATCTCGGAGATAATCCAGTCCCTGGTCCTGCCCTGACAGCTGGGCAAACAGAGGCCCAGAGAAGACAAGTGAGGTGCCCAGGGTCACAGAGCTAATCAGAGGCAGCGCCATCAGGACACCTGCCTACCAGCGGGGATTCCTTCTGTCACCGAGGCCTCACAGAAGAGTCCTCTGCCCTTATTTTGAGCACCTGGTGACTTTGCTGTATAAGAGGTCACCGAATATCATGGAGGGCGAGTCATGCCAGCTGGTTATAGGATCTGAAAAAACTGAATTTGTCACTCTTCATCAGAAAAAGAAGTACTCACAAAATACTGTCACAGGAACCCCACTTGGGTTGCTTTAACTGCCCCCGATTCGGCATCCTCCGAGGTGAATTAGTGTGGTTTTAATTTAATGAAGTCTTCTAAGAAACTCCAGGGCAAATGCCACGAGGCGCTAAAGATCAGACTTTAGTATCACGCTCTCCTTTTGGCAGTCCATGGCCTGCTTCTGAAGGCATCTTAAAATATATTATGGATAAGGGAAGTATGAATAAATAAATGAAGCCTGCTTTCAAGCAGGAGGTTGATTCTCTGGTGCTTCTAATAAGCTTTAACCGACCAGATTTTCACTGTTTGGTTTTTGTTTTTGTTTTTTTGAGACGGAATCTCGCTCTGTCACCCAGGCTGGAGTGCAGTGGCGTGATCTCCACTCACTGCAACCTCCACCTCCCGGATTCAAGCGATTCTCCTCTTTCAGCCTCCCAGGTAGCTGGGAGGTGCCCACCACCACACCTGGTGAATTTTTGTATTTTTTAGTAGAGACAGGGTTTCACCATGTTGGCCAGTCTGGTCTCCAATTCCTGGCCTCAAGTGATCCACCCACCTCGGCTTCCCAAAGTGCTGGGATTAGAGGCATGAGCCACCACGCCCAGCCGATTTTCACTGTTGGAAGGGTCTCTTGCCCTATCTCCCTCCAGCCCCGGCAGTTCATAATACACCTTGCACCTTGTTTCTCAGAACTTCCACACACCTAGAACCTCTTGGGAAGAAGTAAGGGCTCTACCAGAATTTCTTTGCAAGTTACTAAGAAAGGCAGGTTCCCAGATAGTGCATGGGAGATGGGCAGAAAGCATCTCCTGAAAGCAAGGAAGGAGTCTGCTTAGCAAGGAGCACACCTGGCTGCGGGGCGGAGCGTGGTGCAGGGTAACAGTCTTAGCCTACGTCTGATTTTCGTGACAGAGGCCTACCTTCCAGTCACTCCTAAAAGCATGCAATTGAGGAGCAGTAGAGATTCTGGATTTGGGTTTCCTTTTCTTGAGATGCAGTCTTGCTCTGTCGCCCCGGCTGGAGTGTAGTGGCGCGATCTCAGCTCACTGCAACCTCTAACTCCTGGGTTCAAGCAATTCTCCTGCCTCCGCCTCCTGAGTAGCCGGGACTACAGGTGCACCACCACGACTGGCTAATTTTTGTGTAGAGATGGAGTTTTGCCATGTTGGCCAGGCTTTAACCACATGGGCTCCAGGTGCTCTGACTGTATGTGAGAACATAAGGACCTGCAAGCATAGGTATGCACTAGCTGCTGCTGTTCCTAAAGATGAACTGTGGTCAGGCATGCCTCAAGGGCTCTGACTGTAGTCATGAAGAAAAGTATCTCCAAGCATGAGAGGGGCGCTGATCTCTCCCACTGCAACAAGTGTGCTCTGGCCAGGGGGACCCTAGGAGCTCTGACAGAAGTTGGGAAATAAAAGCCCAACACAGGTATAGTGCTGGCCCCTGTGATGGTAAGAGATGTGCTCTGGCATGATGGGTCTCAGCTAATCTGACCACAAGAAGGAACAAAAGTGTTGCCTGGACCTTGATTCTTCTCAATAGGCCTGACTCCTCCAATAGTAACACATGTGCATTCACCCAGCTTGAACTCCCAACCTCAAGTGATCCGCCCACCTCAGCCTCCCAAAGTGCTGGGATTACAGGTGTGAGCCACCGCGCCCGGCCTCATGCCCTAGTCTTGGAAACAAAATTCAGCTCTTGGAACTCCTACCAGAGCTTAGTGTCCTCTGTCCCTCCTTTTCCCCTTTCTCTCCTGCTCCCTCCACCTCCCCCTCTCCTCCCACCCCCTCCATCTCCCTTCCAACTCTTTCTCCCCTCCCCTCTGCCACTTAACAGAATTCAGGCCCCCAAAAGGCTTAATGAACTACAGCTTTCATCTGTTTCAAGTACTGAGTCATGACAGAAAGAATTACCCTGTTTTCTGGGAGAGGAAGAAACGCTTTGGTTATCAGCAGGGCTGGCCAGAGGCCCGGCAGCCTCCAGAAAGGTCCGTGGGATTTGAATGCCAGGGGTGGACATTCATCCAGCTGGACACGTTCACACCCCAGGAGCGCGGTCATGCCAGGGAGAACCTGGGACCAGCCTCCCCCAGATCCGAAACAGCAATCAAGAAGTGGGTGCTTGCTTTCTGGCCATGGTGCTCAGGGGAAAGGCAGCCCAGCCACACTGTAGGAGCTCAGCAGCCATTCATTAGCACAAACAAATTGTGCTAAAATCGAGTTATTTACAGGGTTATTTGCCTTCTCAACAACCCTATGAAGAAGACACCGAGAGTGTCCCCGTTCTACAGAGGCAGCTGTGGGGCACAGTGCTGAGTCACTTTCTGTGGGCGAGAGGGTGACAGTCAGGATGGGAGTGGGCCCTACCTGTGCCCCCAACACCTGCCCCTCAGTGTGGGTTTTCTCCTCCCTGCTCCATCTGCAGGTAAGATCCTGGTTCACTGCGTCATGGGCCGCAGCCGGTCAGCCACCCTGGTCCTGGCCTACCTGATGATCCACAAGGACATGACCCTGGTGGACGCCATCCAGCAAGTGGCCAAGAACCGCTGCGTCCTCCCGAACCGGGGCTTTTTGAAGCAGCTCCGGGAGCTGGACAAGCAGCTGGTGCAGCAGAGGCGACGGTCCCAGCGCCAGGACGGTGAGGAGGAGGATGGCAGGGAGCTGTAGGCCCGACTCACAGGGCCAGCAGAGGCACTTGGGGACAGAGGGGAGAGGCAGAACATAGCCCTGGCCTAGGACTCCAGAGAAGGGATGGTGAAACCGAAGCTCGACTCTTCCAAACCATCTTGTTCAACTTCCCCATGTGTGCTGGGGACAGGGAGGACCCAGAGCTGCCCCCGGGCAGAGCTGAGCGCTCAGCCTCTCAGCAAAATGGGAGGGACGGGCTCCCCGGCTCTGGGTCACAGAGGAGCATGCCACGCTGCACCAAGTCTCCTGCTTTGGTTTTGTTTTTTTGGTGAGAAGGAAGAGGGAAAAGATTTTAAAATGTGTAGGCAGTATGTTGTGATTAAACGTTTGGCTTTGTCTGAAAGGAAAGTCATCTTCTTATAAAAAGTATTTTAAAATAGAAATTGCTTTTCCAACCACAGAACCGTACCAGGTGAGCAGTGTCACGGGAGTGCCTGCGTAGCTGTGGAGGCTCCTTCCCGGGCATCCTGCGTTTCTGTGGCATCCCTTGCACGCCGCTTGTCTTTTCAGCGGAACCCCTAGGCTCACGCCACCATCTCTAGATGTGCTCCTCCAGCAGGGTGGGGAGGGGTCCTGAACCTCTGTACAGAGGCCCCTGCTTTAGGCTTCCCCCACTTTCCCAAGGGACGCAGGGCTCCTCAGACTCTTAGCCAGGGCTGCCACTACTCAGAAAAATTCAATGAATTGTGGTGAGTTTGGACAAGTAGGAGTTTGACTTTCTAATTTTGGGGAAAAAAAGGGAGGAGACCCTCTCTAGCGGGGACCTCAGGGAGGCTCTTTTCACGTGGGTTCTAGTCAAAGCAACACGAGCTGCTTTTCAGTCATAGCAGAAAGTATTTGCAAATTGTTGTCTGCTGTGGAATGGGACGATGGGGCAGCCAGGTAAGCTCAGGTGTGGAGTTTGCCTCCCTGAGAGCTAAGCCAGGCACGATGGCTGCGTGATTTCCACTCTGAAGGAGAAAACGGCAGCAGACATGAAGCGGGTAGTGACAGCTTCCAGGGCCAGGAATCCCAAACCAGACAGAAACCAAAGAGAGTTGCTGCTGTTGGAGATGCCGGCCGTCAAGGACCAGGCATGGAAATGGCCTGGAGAAACCAGAATGTGATAAAGGCCTTCTAGGAAAAAACGAAAAGGGGCCCGGTTCTTCAGTTTGGTTGTAGTTTTCAGCAGAATGAAAGAGGAAGTTATTGATGGGTGGAGGAGAGAGTCCAGGGCCTCAGCAGAAGTGTAAGCCACCTGAGAGTCACCCTGTGACCTTTGGGGATATGCCCTGCTTTTGTGCCCCTGTGGCTAGGCCTGGCTTCCTGGGACTGCCCTGAGTCTGCTCTGAGAGTCGCCTTGGCCCAGGAGGAGCCAAGGCCCTCATGTTAACATGCACACAGGGCTTGGGGGGGCATTCCCCGGGGACTCCCTCATGGTAAGAGCACTGGTCTTCTAATACATTTTGAAACCTGAAACATTGCAAAGGGGTCGCAAAGCAAAAAGGCAGAGATGATACAGAAATAGAAATGTGCAGTGAACTGGTATGTCCTGGTGCTAAGACAGAGAAGGGGGACATGTTCCCTCTGAAAGCGCGACAGTCCTGAACTGGACAGAGATTGGGTGTATCAGTCACAACTCATGTGGCTGTGAGGGAGAGAGCAATACTGGGTGTATGACGACTACGGATGATGGAATTGCTTAGTGACTCATACTTGGGTGTGAGAGGACCATATTCCAGCTCTTGGGAAAGAGATGCAGGCCAAAAGGGATCCAGGGTCATAGTGGCCCCAACCTAGGCTTCCCCATCAGGATCCTGCTACCCCGGTCTGAACTCAGTTATTGCTTAGCTCTGATCTGTTCCATGTCCAGAGAGAAGCCAATATTTCTATTTTAATGAATATTTACATTTAGATGAATTCACATCAGGGAGGATAGAGTGTAGCTAGGTGCATTGTTGGTGTTTCCTGAGCACCCCACACCTTCCTCATGCTCTCATCTCTTTGTGGGACTCTGGGTCCTGCTGAAGGCAACAGAAGCTGAGAATGGCAAAGTTGCGGTTCTGGTCTCTTCTACATGACTCCTGGGAGCCAGAAGCAGGAGAAAGGAGGAACAGAAGTTTTTGCAAAAGTGTTTCAAGTCTTCAGAAATAAGATATGAAATATTTGTTTGGTCACCAAGTGTCTATTGAGAACCTACCACATGCCAAAACCTGGGTTAGGGGCCAACAGGAAAAATGAAAATGCACATTGTGATAGAGCACAATGCAGGAAATAGGCATGGAGGCAGAGAAAAGTGGGGAAAGGGGAGAAACCCTCTTTAGGCGGGGTGGTCAAGGAAGACCTCTCTTAGACTTGAAGGCACAAACCTTCCAAATGTGCCGGAGCATTCGAGGCTGAGGAACTGCCCATCAGTAAGGCTGGAGCTGGTGGCTGAGAGTGGGAGTGGAAGGAGAGGGGCAGAGGGACTTGATTCTATTCCAGGTACACAGAAGATTCACTGAAGGGTTTTAAGCCGGGGAATGGTATGATCTGTTTCAAGATCACTCTGGAAAGATCCTTTGGCTGAAGTATGGAGAACAGGTTGTAGGGAGTTAAGAAGCGAGGCAAGAGCAGTTAGGAGGCTGTTGACAGGAAAGGAAATGGGCTGGACTGACAGCACCAGGGGATTAGTATTCAAGATTATTTTGGAATTAACCCAGAAAACGGACGGGACCTCCCGAGATGGGGAGGGAAATGAGGGCTAACTGATCGAGGTTTCTCGGCAGTGCTTTAACACTGAGATGGGATGGACCAGAGCAGGAACGGAGGAGCGGTCGGAAATCACCAGTTCGGTTGTCATGCAGATGTACAAAAGGTGTCCCAGGTCATTTGACGTGGCATCTAAAGCTCAGAGGAATATTCACAACTGGGGATGTAATTCCGGGTGTCACCTGCAGAGAGGTGGAATTTGAAGTCATCATACTAGATGAGATGATGAGAGAAAACAGAGAGAACACTCCCGGCCTGAGTGTTGCAGAACATCAATGTTTATAGGTAAGCCTGGGTGGAGGAGGAAGGTCCAGGAAAGGGGATGGAGAAGGTAGAAGGAACGATGGAAACCTGGGTACAGAGAAATGGAAGGTGCTGCTTCATAATGTAACAGTACGTGTACTTTGAGTATCGAAGATTGATTGTAGACCAAGGCTTGCTCGCAGCCACAAAGGGATCTGTATTTATATAGCACTTAACAGTTTTTACAGCAACATGTATTCATTAGCCAAGCCTTTAAATCAGAGAGGTGACAAATTAGGGCCTTTCAGAATACAGTGTCCTAGAAAAAAAGAGCTGGGATTTGGAAAGACCTGGGTTTGTTTCAGCTCACACATTTTAGCTGGGTGAGTTTGGGTAATTAATGTAGCTTAATCTGAGCCTCAACATCCTGATCTGTACATTGGAAAGAATGGCCCCATTTCCTGCACAGGGTGGGTGTGTGGGAGGAGTTTGTGAAAGCTTTGTGACGATATTGTGAGTCATTACTTCTAAAATAGAATGTTGGTGAGGAAGGTGGATGCCCTCCCACCTGGCGTAGGCACCACTTGCAACTATTAAAACGTGAGGCTGGCAACTGACCACCACTTGGTACGACTCTTACAAATAATAGAACACAGTTAGGGTTTAAATGATGTGGCCTGTTAATGAATCTCAATCGAATGAATTCAGCTTTGATGAATCCAAGTTCCTGTTTCGCCAAATCCTTGGCGTCACATTCAGATGTGAACTGATTTCTCTAGTGAGAGTGGGTGAGGTGGAGGGCAGGGTGTTCTGAGGCCATCTCAGATCAGCAGTTTCCTTCCTATGCTAAGCCTTTCTGTTCCATCAAGGAATGTTGGGACTGGGGCCAGCACGGAAGCTCCTAGTCCTAGCTATGCTGCAGTCCTTAAGGAGCCTGGGCAACCGAGGTGTCCCTGGGACTGTTCTAAGATTAGGGTTTGGCAGGTCTGGGGCAATGATTGGGACTCTTCCACAAGCTCCTTTAGAGGGCTGTTAGGCTGGCAGGGTATGGGAACTCAGACATCGCACAAACCACAAGGTGTGATTAGCAGGTCATGGCCAAAGGGAACACAGAGGGGAATCTCAGCCCCCAGAGAATCTTAACCCAAGAGGAAAGAGACAAAATATGTGACAGGTCGGAGCCCGTTCGGGGCTCTGCTTCCCGATCAGATTGCTTCCAGGCCCCAACCCCACCTCCAGGGCTCGGGCAGCCTCTTGCCCGATGTGTGGCCCACTGGGCTGCCCAGTCCTTGGCCACTCCTGAATGGACGCAGTGTTCGATTTGTGCAGGCATAGACCACCACTTCCTACTCTGAGGATGGCTGATAGGTTTCTTTTCCTATTAGCACAGCAGCTTAAATGGATCTTTTCCCTTTGTGCTGACGGCCCTTCAGACGTGTCTTCTTGAAAGCCCTCCCTCAGCTGTTACATATATTACCCCCATTGACTTTGCAGTTGAGGAAGGAAGGGACTAAAAGATAAAATTGTGACACTAAACCCAATACACTTTGTAACTGTGAAAGAAAATAACGATAAGGGTGAGAGTACAAGGCAGAACTCCACTGGGCACCCTCTGTCTGCACAAGGCCTTTTATTCTGGTGTGTACGCTCTATCCTGCCCTTGCACGATTTTGGGTCCACTTTAAGGCTTATGTCTATGCTTTGTAAAACATCTAATTTTTGTGTGTGTGTGTTGAATCAACAGTGCAAAAGCAACTTTTTTCCTCCACAGGGTAGTGACCTGCTTAACAGAGGAGTTGCGAGCACACGTGTTCAGACACCTGGAGAGCTTAACGGGCTAGTTTCACACGGGTGCTAGGTCAAGCATTCATTTCTAGACTTGTTGCTCAAATAACCAAATTCAAGCAACACTCAGAACTTTCTCTGAACGCTATACTTGTGAATATTCACTTTTGGCAGGGGGTCTAAACTTTAGACTCTAAAGAAAACATACAATTAATCATTCACAACAGAGCAAAACGTTCACACTTTTTAAAAAGAAAATGATTTTTCAAACATACAATCCCAAATTGGGTGCTTTTTTTGGTATGAATCTTTATAAAAAGGAAGTTTGCTACCCTGGTGCGAGGCTTGGAGGGATGTTTCTACAGACTGTGCGAGTGAGGCAGCTGGATATTTGTGCGGGATCTCTTTGCAAATGAAGATCAAAGTCCAAAAGAAAAAAACAATTTCACTTTATTTTAAAGACAATGATTGGCATACAGAAGGTATGCACTCGCATAAAATAAACTTTCATGAAAAGCATTAAAATCCATTATAAATTAATTTATTAAATAGGTATTTGGTATATGTGATGGTTTTATTAGATATTACTCTTATTTATTGCCAACCCCTCCCCCAAAGTCAAAACAAATCAGAAAATCCCATAACTCCAATTTACACTAAATAATTTATTTTCCCAAAATGTGTATGTGTTCTGAGGCGTGACACATGATACAGTTCCATTGGTCATTCTCTATCAATCATAATATGACAGGACACAAGAGGCTAAAAATGGCTCATCATAATTTATTTTATGTTAAAATGTACAGCTTTTTTTTGTTTGTTTTTTGTTTTTTTGAAGTGACTGACTAAAAAGAGAACAGATAAATACAAGAGTGTCGCTGGATCCTATTTTATACAAGGATTACGCCTCTCCTGCTTGGCCCTTACTGTCACCCTGTACAGGTACAAAGGCTACAAAAAAGGAAGCAATATAAACAGACACAAATAACTTTTTTGCTTTTTTACATGCGATTTGTAAGCTTAGTTTGAGCTATTCACAAGCTACTTTTCTATTTTTCCTTAAAAAATAACTCCAATATTTTATAAAGATAGAAAAATCTACAGATGGAATGAAAATGTAAAGTTAGAGGCATTTCCATAAAATAGCAACTTTACACCAAATTCACTATTTTTTTTTAAATCCTGCCAAGTATTTGGACATATATGAAATGTTTCAAAACCTGACAGATAAACACTGAGATATGCTTCATTCAATAAACAGAAGTCTGCATTTATAAAACAGAAAGCTGCCTTTTTTCCCCAAAGAAATCTGTCACCAAAATGGAAAAGGGTCTCAACTTTACACCAAACATTTAGCAATAAAACCCTTTTGACTAACCAAATGGGAATAGCTTTTATAGCTCTTTACAGTTTTATAATTAACAAAAATATAGTTTTTTTTAAAACCCTCAAATTAGGGCACCCTAATCAAGGCAAAAAACTTAAGAAATGGCTTACTGTTAGCACAACACTTGTACAGTACTACAAAATGCACTGTCACTAACAAAGACATTAGCGGCATGCTGAAGTGTCACCTTAAACAAAATATACAATAACTGAAATGCTAAAGGCATTTACATGGAGTGGACAGGGAAGGGAAAAAAAAAGCTCTAGGTTCAATATTAAAACAGATAATTTGGGGGGGCTTGATATCCACATTGTTTAACAGAAGCAGGCACAACAAGTGGCTGCCTCCAAATTGTAGTCCAAAGAGAGGCCTTCCTTTGCAGAGAATTTTATATAAAAGTAACAGAAATGAAGGTACCAAAAAAAAGAAAAAGGAAAAAAAGAAAAACAACTTGTATAAGGCTTTCTGCTGCATACAGCTTTTTTTTTTTTTAAATAAATGGTGCCAACAAATGTTTTTGCATTCACACCAATTGCTGGTTTTGAAATCGTACTCTTCAAAGGTATTTGTGCAGATCAATCCAATAGTGATGCCCCGTAGGTTTTGTGGACTGCCCACGTTGTCTACCTTCTCATGTAGGAGCCATTGAGAGACTGTTTGGACATGCCTGTGTTCATGTAGCCGTGATGTCCGGGGGCCGTGTACATCATGTTACCGTGGGGTGGGGTCTGCATTGGCTGCTGGGCATATGGCTGGGTGCCCATCATGCCCATCTGCATCTGCATAGGGTATTGGGGCGTTTGATTCATATAGCCATGATTGCTGTGGTAGCCACTGTTCATCATTGGCTGGGACATGCTGTACCCATTCATGGCGTTGAGAGTGTTCATGTTCATGTTCACAGAGTTGACATTGTAGGCTGGCGCTGGCATCAGGTTCACACTCATGTTCATGCCTCTTTGCATCGTTAAAGTCCGTGCAGGACCCTGCATGGCTACAGTCTGGGAGCGCCCATAGATTTGTGACTGATGGGTGGCAGCGGCTGGTGACAGAGACGCTGACTTGGTTCTCATGGAGATGTGGCCCTTGCTGGCAATCTGGGTTTGCAGTCTTTGGCTGTGAGAGATGCCAATATTTGATGCAGCCATGTTCCGTTGCAAAAGAGGCGGCGGCAGATTCATTGGAGGAGGAGTCAGGTTGGGGGGTGGGGTCATGGTAGCTTGTGCTTGGGGTCCCCCAGGGACGGAGTGTGGAGACTGAGAAAGTTGAACAAGCCCTGTGTTACTTAATGGTGTGGACAAAGAGGCACTGTTTGCATAGGAAGTCACAGCAGCGGAATGGCTGTAAGGCAATGAATGATCAATAAGTGTATTAGTTAACTGCTGCAGTTTGGCAAGGCTGAAGGTGGCTGACGGCTGCGGGTAATGCCCAGCCCCAAAATCACTCTGACCCATTCGCTCGTATAAGCCAATGTTGGCGTTGCTCGTCTCGGGGATTTCAGCCAGCTGCATGGGTGGGGTGAAGTTAGCAGCCATGCTGCACTGAGCCAGCTGCTGGCTGCTGCTCGGAGGCCTCTCCACCACACAGCCTTGAGGAGACTTGACGCTGCAGGTCGGAGGGGAGCTGATGCTGGTTTGCTGCAGCATGCTGCAGCTCCCGCTGATGTTGGACATCTGCTGGGTGACAGCACAGCTGCTCTGTGTCAGACTGCTGGAGGTGAGGTTGCTATAGGAGCAGCTGTTCTGTGAAGAGCCGTTTCCACAGATGCTGCCTCCCATAGTAGAATCGTAGCTGCTTGGGTTTTCGTAGTTCTCAGTTGTGCTCTCGATACTGCCCAGGTCACTAAATCCACTGTCTACGACTTGCTGTGAATGATCTGAAACTGATGGGACATCCATCATGGGACTGGTTTCCATGTTCTGCAGAGATGGCACTGAGATGGCACTTTGATCTGGGCTGATTTGGGCGTAGCTGTTTTCCAGAGCAGGGACACTTGGGCTGTTGACAGAACGTACGGACTGGCCAGGATGGGAGTGGACGGATGAAACTGGGCTACTGTGGTCCGACTGTTGGCAATCGTCGAGCGTGGTGGCAATCTGTGGACTTTGGTCTGCACGGGTGTAGTTCTGTAGGCTTCTACAGGCCTCTTGAGTCTCGGCACAATCCTGAAAGGTGTCGTCCTGTTCGCTGCTCTCCTGGGTCAAAGACTGAACGGCCTGGACAGTCTCAGAGTCGATTTCCATGGTTGCTGGGTTTCCCTCTTTGAACTCTGTATCGACTTCCTTGCTGTTCTTTTGGTCCTGCTTCTGTGCCTGTTCTCCTGGGGGTGGCTCCTCGTCAGATTCGGGTACAGCTTCAGGGTCCCCAGCAAGCTCCTTGGGCTCACTGTTACAAGAAGCTGTCAGGTCGACGCCACAGTCCATTAAGACCTCTGGGTTCGAGTGACCAGGCTGCACATTAAGGTCTAAAAAAGTCTCCTGGTTTTCCAGTACTTCTTTGAAGCTTTCTCTGGGCAGCTCTTCCTTCTCCACTTCGGCAGACTCCATGTGGCTGTCATCCTCGTCATCGGCATCATGGTCCTCGTTGTGGGATGGCTCTTCATCCTCTTCCTCCTCCTCTTCGTGATCATCCAAACGTGCAGAGTCTTCTTTTTCCGTGGAGATTTCTGGTTCCTCTTTTTCTTGGCTTTTAGCACCATCTGGATCTTTTTCTACATTTCCTCCTCCTTCTTCTTCTTCCCCTTCCTCTTCTTCCTCTTCTTCCTCTTCCTCCTCCTCCTCCTCTTCCTCTTCCTCAGGTTTGATGAGATCATCTTCTGGTTTTTCACCTGGTGATGTGTTTGGACTTACAGGGGCACATGTTTCTTCCCTTCTGTTTTCCTCTTGAGGCAACAGGGCTTCCCCAGTTTCCTTGACCTCCTCCTCAATCCTGATGGGACTGGGGCTGGTTTTTCCTTCTGAAGTCTCCTTCTGTTCTTCCACTGTTACCTGCTCGTCAGGCTCCATGGGTGTTTCTGGCGGGGTGTACAAATTCAGTTTAAATCCGGTCTTCCTCTCTTTGTTTTGCCTCCACTTAGATAGACCGCGCTTTGTTCCTTTTGGCCACACTTGTTTGCACTTTAGAGGTTCGGGATTGTCTTTACTGCCTTCTTTCAAGTTACTTGAATCATCATTCATATTGTCTTAGTGAAGAGACAAAAACGGGAAGGAAAAAAAACAGTCTTAGAAAGCATAACCATGGGCAACTTGAATTCATTCCTCTAAATTAATTAGCAAACACTGCTTTCAATTTGGCATGTTAAAAGTTGATGGTAAAGACATAATCAAGGCTAATGTGTAATAATATTGTGTTATAAACCAAGTAAATAACCTAGGCCTGGGAGAGTAACATATTGGGAACACATGGATATAGGCAATGCTAATGTGCTTATTTGAATTTAATGAACAAGACATTCTCTGATGCAAAAGCCCAGAGTTCCACAGTGTAAAAAAAAAAATCAATTTGAACATTTACAAATTAGGAAATATAGGGGAAAGGAATTAATGCTAGCTTATATACAAATCATTACTGTCCTGGAAAAATGACTAGAAGCCTTAACTCTCATATCTACCTAGAGAAAGTAAACCTCTGTTTGTGGACATTTATAGGATGTAAATGATCTTGGAAGACATGATTTATTTACTTTGATTTGAATGTTCTCTCTGGCATAAAAATAAGCTGTGTACCTCTGAAACAAATCAGTAAATAACTAAATACCCAAAACAAATGCATTTGTAATCATCATTTTTAGGATCATCATTTTTGCATGATACAAACTACAATGTAATTACTAGCAAATTCCTGAACATTTAAAATACAGGTATTCTTTTTAACACTAATTCTGTCCACACTGAATTCTGGATCAATATGTTGCTGATGTAAGGTTTGCATATTAAAGACACTTAGAAACAAACCATAATTGTGAAGTTCATTTCAGTTCAGGTGAGCTTTTTACTGAACCTATATGCACATGTTAATATAAATGTAAATATGTACATATTTATACAAGCAGATGAATAGCTATATACATATTAATAAATATATATTAATAAATATATGCATGAAGCACCCAAGTATTCTTAAGATCTTTAGATTACACCAATCTTCTAGAATCAGTGGTCAATTTAAAGGAAAAGCTTTATATAGAACAATAGTCTTATTAGAAACTCTATTTTGGAGAATAAAAATAAGATCTCACAATCATCATAAAACAGATATCCCTTCTGCCAGAATAGAGTGAGTTCTAGTCCAACTGGTGGACAGCAGAGTAAGCACTGGCTGATTTAGGTAATAAAAGGATTACAGATAAACTTACCTGCAAGTATTACATTCAAACCGACCAGCTGAAAAGAACACATATGTGATGTAGAATGTTTCCTTGAGAAGTGCCGAGTACCATGCCCGAGTTAAGAGTCATCTCAGGACATTTCTATTCACAATGGCAGGTAATAGCCATGCCAGTGCCCCCGGATTCCACATTCTTTTTATTTTTGAGACGGAGTCTTGCTCTGTTGCCCAGGCTGGAGTGCAGTGGCATGATCTCGGCTCACTGCAACCTCTGTCTCCCAGGTTCAAGCGATTCTCCTGCCTCAGCCTCCCAAGTAGCTGGGACTTACAGGCATGCATCACCACACCCAGCTAATTTTTTTGTACTTTTGGTAGAGATGGGGTTTCACCATGTTGGTCAGGCTGGTCTTGAACTCCTGACCTCAGGTGATCTGCCTACCTCGGCCGCCCAAAGTGCTGGGATTACAGGCATGAGCCACCATGCCTGGCTGGATTCTGCATTCTTATTCTACGTGCTACTGGACCTACCGGCTTTTGTTGGAACACCTCCCAAAATCAGAAGATGAGCTTTCTGACAATTATTTTTAAGAAAGAAGGACATCCTGAAAGGAATCAGGCATAATATGAGAAGACAGCCAAGAAGGGGAAATAAACCTCATTTTCACACACAAAATGATCGCTCACTGCAGTTTGTTATTTGTTTAAAAAAAAAAAACCCAAAGAATAAGGCTTGGTTTCTCTATACCCAGGGTAAGAAGTCATTCCTTCAGCAAAATACTGTATGCAGGAATAGCATTTCTGTGAACTAAGAAAATCAAGAAGATGCTTGCATATGTTCTTAAAACTGTGGCTTTTCAAAAGCTAGAGTGATCCTGTGGTTCCCAGGGAAATGAGATGGCCTGTTCCCCAGATTAAAGTAAGTTCTGAATAGAGTCATCTTGGCCAGGGAATAGAGAGAGTATACCATAAACCCTCATGATTCAGCTGGGAGCACACGTTCTCAACCTGACAGGCAAGGATGGGTGCTTTTAAAGACGATTCACTGGTGTTCAGTGTATTTTTTAGAGGATGGGGTAGAGGTGTCCCTGTCAACTTAAAAGGAAAGTCAGTTTACTGATTTTTATGTTATGCAATATTATCAAAGCTAATATTGATGTGTGGGTAAGTTTAGATGGTTCCTTTTTTTTTTTTTTTTTTTGAGAAAGGGTCTCATTCTGTCACCCAGGCTGGAGTGCAGTGGCACGATCATGGCTCACCCTGAGCTCAGGTGATCCTCCCACCTCAGCCTCCCAAGTAGCTGGGACTATAGGCACACACCACCACTGCTGACTAATTTTTGTATCTTTTGTAGAGATGGGGTTTTGCCATGTCGCTCAGGCTGGTCTCAAACTCCTGGGCTCAAGTGATCCAGCTGCCTCAGTCTCCAAAAGTGCTGAGACTACAGGTGCACACCACTACATCTGATTAATTTTTGTATTTTTTTTAGAGTAGGGGCTTTGCCATGTTGCCTAGGTTGGTCTCAAACTCCTGGGCTCAAGTGATCCACCTGCCTCAGCCTCCCAAAGTGCTGGGATTACAGGTGTAAGCCATCATGCCCAGCTTAGTTTAGATGAATCTTTATAGTAGTATATACTACGACACTACTGATTATAAAATGTACTATTGATTTACTAATATTTGTTTTCCAGGAAAAAAGAAACGATTCCATTCAATGCTCACACTGATAATAATATATACCTTGATTTCAGAAATAACTAAATGTGAAAAAAAAAAGTACATATTAGAATCAAAGAAATGTAATGTGTTTCTTGTCAACAGACTTCAAAGTTTTTGGGGATAAGCCAATTTCTGGTAAGTAAGATGAACCCACCTAGAGGAATGTTCTGGCCTTAGAAGTTGTTTAACATAAAATCCAATTCCAGGAAGAAGGGAGAGAAGCTTGTAAGGATGGGAAAGGGCAGATGGGCACTTGCTCCAGGTGCATCAGCACCACTTCGCAGGTGCCTCTGGGCATCACGCCAGAGGCCTGCTCTTTGGCACCCAGTCAGATACAGACATTCTCAAGGGTAAGGTTTTTATCATTCCTCTACTTACTTCTACAAGGGTCAGCATTCTTGAAGCAATGATTGTCTTTTCCTTCCTCTTCCTCTGTTTGTCTTTTCTTCCCAGGCTGATGCTGGAATGCTTTTCTCAGGACTGGCTTCCTGCCATCTTCCTCCACTTCAATCTCACAGGTAGGCTCCAGCTGTGGCATTGGCCTCTCTTCATCTGAGTTGTCAAAGGGCTCATTCAGTACTTCTGTCGTCTCTGAAATGGTCTCTGTTGTTACACTGCTGTTGATCCTCCTGCGTTTACGACCCCTTTTCTTCTTTAGTACAAAAGGCCTCTGAAATTAATTCCAAACATAACACATAAGAGCTCATGAGAAATTAAATGGTTGAGTCGATATGCAGTAGACATGTACTGAACGCGTGTCTGAGAATCTTACACGTGGTGACTTCTGTAATGCCTTTGTACTTAACCTTCCATTTGATGTCTAACATCCCTCTCGGGCTCCAACTACACAGGCAAGTGTTTTCCAAATAAAACAGTTGTTTACTCAAGCAGATGCTCTGAGAGGGAACATCCTAGCAGCTTGACTGGAGATTTTAAAAACTAAGCTTTGCTTTTCTAGCATATATTTTTCCAATGGTACTTGCTGGCTTCAATATTCCTCACATCACAGACATTTAAGGTCATCACAGACTCTAATGTCTTTATAAATGGTGCTGTAATTAACTAGCCACTGGGTTAACCCATTTAATACTTGAGAACTCTTGAAGGAGCACCCACTATGTGGACAGCACTGGGAAATATGATACAAGACCAGCCTACTTTTTCTCATTCCATAGGACTTCAGGGCTATGAAAAGGAAAGGAAAGGTACCTGAAGAAAGGATTACTGTTTAAAATGTTAACAAAGTCAAGTATTGGTGGCTGCTGAGATGTGAGCAACTGATAACCTGGCAAAATATTTTAATAGAAGGAATCTAAAAATGTTAAAGACATGCCAGATGTCTTATTTGTATGATATAAAAATATTTTTTTCTTTTATTTTTCTTTTTTGTAGAGACAGGGCTTTGCCATGTTGCCTAGGCTGGTCTCGAACCCCTGAGCTCAAGTGGTCCACCCGCCTTGGCCTCCCAGAGTGCTGGGATTATAGGTGTGAGCCACCGCACCTGGCCTAAAAATATTTTTTCTGTTTGCACTAAAGGTTGGCACAAATGACTGTCCATAATTGTAATTATAAAATGTTTTTCGCCCAGCAAAAAAGTTTTTAATGACACAAAATTCAAATAGAGGAATAGCAGGTAGATTTGCTGCTAAGATGTAATTGTTGCCCCCCAAATTATTGAAAATACACTGCAAAGAAGGGTTCAATATGCTTGGTTAAAAGCTAACCTTCAGGTAAACTGTATTCAATTATTATTATTATTATTTTAAAAATACTTATTTATTTTTTATAGAGACAGAGTCTTGCTTTGTTGCCCAGGCTGGTCTTGAACTCCTGAGCTCAAATGATCCTCCTGCCTCAGCTTCCCAAAGTGTGGGGATTATAGGCGTGAGCCACTGTGTCCGGCCTCCAAGAATTCTTGTGTCTTACTTTTGTTAACGCTCTGAATGCTCACTGAAGCACACACGTAGCCAGTTAATCATATTCTGTAATTAAACATTTACGGTTATTATTCCCCCCAGTCTGCCTGCCCTCTTTAATCCATGAGAATTTTCCCTAATATGAGGGAAGCCAAGGTAGAGAACTGGTTTTCTTCAGGTTGAGTCCAGTTCAGATCATGCCTTGGATGATTCTGGTTTTTGATAGTTTTAGAACAAATTTCTTTTATTATATATACAACACATGAATACACACTCCTCCTAAGAAATGGAAACATTATTCTTAAGCCTGAAGTCTACTTTGTGGGATGCTCCTTTCTACCACCTCCCCATGGAGACCCTTCCAGAAGACTGCCAGGCCTAGAAGAGCGCTGAGCTGGGAGTTAGAACAGCAAGTTCCCTAACAGATGCCACATCAGATGGCCTTGGGGCGGAGCCTTAGCTTGTATTGTGATATCTCTATCAGTCTTGGCTCTCCTCTATGTCCCAGATAGATACTGAAGACAAAGATATCAGATCTGGGTGAGCAGTTACCTAAAAACAAAGTCAATTCTTTACTTTCTGTACCATTGGAGATGATATGGTCTATCTAGAGACATCACTGGGCTACTAAGATCTGAGGAGATTCAGTAATGCGCAGTTGGCCACAAATGCAAAATATCACCATCAAAATTAAGGGCCTAAAATGCTTTCTAACAATTCTGTGCCAAGAACAAGAGAAAGAAACAGCATGAAGAGCACTGGGCTTGGAGTCTTTTTGTTCTGTTTTGAGACAGAGTTTCGCTCTTGTTGCCCAGGCTGGAGTGCAATGGTGCGATCTCGGCTTACTGCAACCTCTGCCTCCCTGGGTTCTCCTGTCTCAGCCTCCCGAGTAGCTGGGATTACAGGCGCGTACTACCGTGTCTGGCTAATTTTTTGTATTTTTAGCAGAGACGGGATTTCACCACGTTAGCCAGGCTGGTCTTGAACTCCTGACCTCAGGTGATCTGCCCACCTTGGCCTCCCAAAGTGCTGGGATTACAGGCGTGAGCCACTGCGCCCAACCCAGGCTTAGAGTCTTGAGCACGCATTTGGTTCTGCTTCCATCTCTAATGAGTCATATGACCTTAGAGAAGTCTCCTGGCCTCTAGGTCTTGGAGGGTGGTTTAAGTGCTTTCTGGGGCCCCTTTTTGTTCCCATAAACCTCAGTTACTCTACTCCTGCAGACCAGCAGGTGGCAGTGACTACTAGACTAGGAGGCTGGCCTGTCCCTGGTTTCCTGTCACCGCACTAACAAACCTGAAAAGTAAACATAATCATGACTGTGAGATAAACGATTATGATATATGATCAGCGGGACTGGGTACACATAAACTACGACTAAAGAACAGAGAGTGAAACAAATACTAATAGACAGAATGTCTGCAATGACAAATAAGATTTGATTGAACGCGACTCACAGAAAATCTAAACAGACACCTACCTTTCTCTTTATGGCAACTGACTGTGGTTTCGTCAATCTTGGGGGAGAGCTTTGAATATTTTCTTCTTCTTCTTCTTCTTCTTCCTCTTCTTCCTCCTCTTCATCCTCTTCCTCTTCTTCCTCCTCTTCTTCCTCCTCCTCGTCCTCCTCCTCCTCTTCTTCTTCACTGCTCTCTTTAGACAGCTCCAGCAGCTGCCCTCGCTCCCCTGTGACTGGCCGGCTCTCCGGGGAATGCAAATATTTATTTTTCGATTGTACTTTTGCAGGTGATTGCCTACTGTTAGCTCTAGTTGACAGGATTTCTTGTTCCTCCTTCTCCCAGCAGCTAGCTTGTTCCATTAGCCGCTCAGCCTAAGTGGGGAGGGTAAAAATGGTGGCCAGTGAGAGGGCAGTTACACAGCCAGAGCCTCTGAGGATCAATGGCAAAGTGTCTCTAAGTCGGTTCTGATCAGGACAGCCAGCCAGCCAAGCACATTCCAGCTGCATCATCTCAGGAACCTTTTGCATCAGTTAGGATAACAAATCAAAGAAGATTGGGTTTCATGGGATATTTAACAGTATTAATGATGCAGCGAATTGATTTGAGTCCTTTATCACTACATTACATGCTCACTGGCAAGGAGCACTTTAAGCAAGTTCATAAACACAAAGAATCAATTGACACTGCAGCCTTGGAGCTCAGCACCGAATTTGATCTGATTACATGCTCTCAGTAGTGAAAAATGCTGCTTTGTAATCAATGATAAATGTTTCATTTTTCATACTCAATTCAATAAAATTATCATGTCTTACCATGCAACCTCAGTTAGGATAAATTAGTGCCATATCATTTCACATGCTATCTCTACATAACCAAGCTTTTGACAACGATCTTAATGACTTTCTTAGCTTAAGAATGCTACAAGATTGAAGTTACACAACTTAGGATGATAAAGACAATCATTACCTCTTTCTCAGCTTCTCGCTCTTCTTCAGACACTGCAGCATTAGAAATTAAAATTGGGGTCCACCTCAGACTGTCTGGATCAAGTTCATTGGCTCTGGAACAGGTTTTCAGCTTTTCCATGTGGCTCAATATCAACTTTTCCCGTCTAATGATGACAAATCTGTAATGTGATAAGGCAGAACAAGATGTAATCACAAGCTGAAATTTCACTTCAGCTTCACATACGGACATATGCTAGCACTAATGTTATCTGCGTTAGGAAAAATCAGAAAGCACCTCAATGAGAGGGTACAGAACACTGGAATCCAACCAGTAAAAAAGTGTCATTTCATGTGTTATTTTTAGGAGAAAAGGTTTGATAATACTGTTAGGGAACCTCAGTCTTTAACTGGAATGAATGCACCTATCTCCAGGGACCCTTTCTGGTGTGGGATGCCTGAGCCACGGAGCTGCCCAGGGTCCCAGGACTCACCTGCCATCTCTCTTGTCGATCATGTGGAGGTGCTGCAGAGTGGTGGCAATGTCATGTGGGCACATGCCCGTCGCTCTGCTAATTGCCTTGATGCTGATGTGCCTCTCATGGTGGTGGTAGAGATACTCCAAGATGACGCTCTTCCAATATGCCAGGTAGGAGAGACGGCCCAGATCGGAGAGAGGCTTTTCAGGAGACCCTGCTTGGCCTTCTCTTCTAGAAAGCAAATAGCCTAGGGCAGAAAAAATAAATGGGCATTCCTCACTGTGGCATTCCCAGAGCTTAGAACAGGAGCCACTAGAAATAATATGAGTAGTGACAAGGTAAAAACATCACAACAGAGAAGTGCATTCGCTTTAGGAATGTAGCCTCTTCCCAGTTATAGTGATTTGATCTCCGTGAAGTTTACGCTCCTGAATCTTTGACAGTGGCACTCTAAGTCAATTCACGCAGCTAGCAGCAGCATTCCAAACACATATTGTGACATATTTAACAAAGACTAAAAGCTATGGTTGAAGACATTACTCCTGCTAAGTCTCAACATCTAAGTCTCCCACAGCTTTAGATTCTTTCAAAAACGAAATGTCAGGCACTTACTCAGAAATCCTGTCGAGGGACCACCCCCAACATTAATGGGCAAGTTGTTTTCCACAGGAAGGACCTAATGACCCTTTGACAGCTGGGTCTTAATAAAAAGAGAAGGACCTCTGTTGACTCAGAGTCTATATTGCTTGTTACATTTAACTAGCAGGTTGATCTGAAGCTTTGTTTTAGGACTAATAAAAGAATGTCTTTCAAGTCAACTGCTGCAACTCCCATCAGCTCCACTAGCTCCATTTTCACCTCTTTCATAGAAATTAATTTACAATCCAATCCCAGAATATTGCTCCTACAAATTAAGACAAAACAAAACAAACTCCTTAAAACAACCTATTGCATGTATGCTCAGAAAATCCCCCAGCATCTTAAGCTTTTGAACGCATTTTACAGCATTACTGTGAAGGTTCCTTGGCAAAGGAACTTTAAAAATGGAAAAAAAAAAAAAAAAAGAAACCAGCCCTTTAAATCCACTTGAAGGTAATGAATGAAAGCTGGCGGCTGTCTCAGTAATTAAGAGCCACTTATGGGGTAGAAAAGAAATGCTATAAGCTAATGATGTCTACCTTGCTCTAATTATCTATTTCAACAGCCTCACCTTCATGAACTTCCTAAGTTTAAACAAACATCAACCACATACAGTAGGTGGCAGCAATGACAAAATCATACGGCTCCATAAACCACCCAAATCTTCAGCATTTTTCTTCTTTATCTACATTTCCAAAATGGCTGCATTCTCAAGAATTTTCTCAATTTTAGGGTTATTTTTTGTTAAAGAAGAAATCAATGCCTCTGATGCATTTTCCTGCATCTCAAAATCACTGCAAATACAGTAATGCAGAAATACAAAACAAGAATCCAGCCTGAACCCTCGAAGGGTATAATCACAGCATTTTGCATTTTGATGGCTTTAATCTGAATGCCATTATGAAGAATAGGCGTAAATTTAACTTCAGGTTTTGCTAAGGTCTTTTGACTTATTTGTCTCTTTAACCCATGTTTAAGTGCAAAGTATTTGACTGAATGCAAACAAGCACCGCAACATTTTACAGTGAAACCACTGTCTACATGTAATTTGGCAGCAGATTGGGGCTTTCAATAGCAGTGTGTCAGGAATGCTAACACAGTGATGGCCACTGTGCCGAAGCCAGCCCATATTGTGTCCTGTCAACACGAAGAAGAGCTCTCTACGTCTCTGTGTTGCCAGAGTATGAAGGGAGCCCACACCTCAGAATACAGATAATTGGCACATCCGTCACCTGCCTCCAAAGTGCTTGGCACATGCTGAGAAACGTACCCAGGAGGCTGGGGGGTCCCAGCTTTGTACTCCTGGGGGGGTGAGAACCATAGAGCCGTGGATATAGAACCATTCCCTTTTGTCCATGAGATCCCACAATTGAAAGTCCCCTGCAGTGAGTGTGAAAGTCCCCAGGTCCTCTACTGGTGCTTATTTGAATCCAGCAGTCAAGGACAGAAAGCCCCACTCCTCTCAGCCTTGCTGAAAGAATTCTGTACAACCAAAGTGTTCATACCAAGGTGGTATGTGCCCCCCCATACCTTATGTCCCCCACTATGATGGGCCAGCTTACCCAGAAGCACATGTGTTCCTTTGTTCTGTCTCCCCGCTACAGTCCCTAATCCGGAAGGCAGCAGCAGCCAGCATCAGAAAACCCACGCTTTCCGCAGCTGTTCATGCTTTCACACCCCGAAGTGGTGCACACACACCCTGTCAGGGCCTGAGCCTAAATGGGTTAGGCCACTCAAACCAGCAGGCAACTTGGGGTCCATGGGGAGCATTTAGGCATAAACCTTTTAGCACCTGCTACTCCTACCATGTTAAGTGGCTGTCTCCTGAGACACTCCCTTGGACACAGACTTCAGGCTATGACTGATAGTCACGGAAGAGTCCTGGGGAGGTGGCAGCAGGGTGATCAGCCCTGATGGGTGTGGGTACACTGAAAGCCCAGTGGTCTTTTTCAGCAAACACCCTTGCACTGTGCTTGCAAAGGCCAGGAGAAAGCAGGGAGTGGCCAACACCTGCCAGGAGGCCATGCTTCCCTGGGTGCTGTAAAGAAGACAACTGCAAACCCAAGCTCCAGCCAGAGCACAGCAGGCGGGTGTGCAGGGATGACGTGCACCGACACTGCAGACTGCACAAGGCCACTATCCGAAGGGACCCCTGCATGGCTTGCAGTGGGTTTTTCCCTCTCCTCTCTGACTCATGAGACCCTCAAGGAACTAATAGCAGGAACTGGCACTTATGCCAGGAGCCATTTGGAAGTCCACAAAGTCTACTCACGTAAGAGAAAACAGAATCCATCAAAACGATCAAAATGAACAAAGATACATTTCTGATTCCTTACTAGTTAAATGAACTCACTTGTAATATGTTAAACTGTACAGCTTAGAAGAAAAGTGTGTGTCATGTCCACTCCACTGGCGTGCTTGGTGGATGTAGGACAGAATTCCATTTGAACCAGCAGCAGCACTTCCTCTCAGAAGGCTGCAGCTGGTGGCACTTCACTACTCTGACCCTCATAACATGCGATGTTTTAAAAAACGAATTTCTTGCCACCTTTTGTTTCTTTGTACTTTTTTTTTTTGAGACAGAGACTTGCTCTGTTGCCTAGGCTGGAGTGCAATGGTGCGATATGGGCTCGATGCAACCTCCGCTTCCCAGGCTCAAGCGATTCTCCTTCCTCAGCTTCCTGAGTAGCTGGGATTACAGGCGCCAGTGGCCATGCCTGGCTAAGATTTGCATTTTTAGTAGAGACAGGGTTTCACCATTTTGCCCAGGCTGGTCTCGAACTCCTGACCTCAGTCCCTCAAGTGTTGGGATTACAGGCGTGAGCCACTGTGCCCGGCCTCTATTTTTTTCTAGGCTCTTCACAACATAATTATGATATAGCCCATTGGAAGAAAAATTTTTGGTAAGAACATTTCACTTATTGAGTACATCATAGAGATGTGGTGGTTTAAGTTACAGCTCTTAACTTACCAAAAAAATTCCAAATAATTGATCTAAGATGCAGGGAAATAAAAAACACTTATCTTGGCTGGGCGCGGTGGCTCATGCCTGTAATCCCAGCACTTTGGGAGGCTGAGGTGGGCAGATCACCTGAGGTCAGGAGTTCGAGACCAGCCTGACCAACATGGAGAAACCCCATCTCTACTAAAAACACAAAACTAGCCGGGCATGGTGGCGTGCGCCTGTAATCCCAGCTACTCGGGAGGCTGAGGCAGGAGAATCACTTGAATCCGGGAGGCAGAGGTTGCAGTGAGCCGAGATCATGCCATTGCACTCCAGCCTGGGCAACAAGAGTGAAACTCCATCTCAAAAAAAAAAAAAAAAAAAAAGCACTTATCTTAGAAGCTGGTGTATTATCCTGAAGCATCTGAAACAAGTACAGTACACCCCTGGTGAATAGATTCCCATGGTGCTCTAACACTTCTCCTTAACTCGGGATACTTTCAATCAGAAAACCTCAGCTCTCCCTGGAGAAACCTGGCTGTTTCAGATGGAAAACAAAGTGATGTTTGGAGGACAAATCCCAGTAGCTGCAGTATAATTAATCGCTGGTGAAATTATTCCCTGGAACTTGTCTGTGAGCCAGAGGTGCTGGCCAACAGCACTTACTCTGTGAGTGGGAGCCTTGTAATTGAAAACGGGGTAGCCCATAAACCCCTCATCCACATCAACTATCTTGATCGTAGCAAAAGCTGGCTTCCTCTTTTGCTTTACTGGAAGTACTTATCCTGGGGAAGGTGACATCTGACTTTCAGTATACAGGCCACATAATCAATTCAAAGGATTGTCAAGATGTCTGCTTAAAGGGAAAGGAAGAACAATGTGATTTCTGTCTATAAAAAGTAAGCATTTCTAAGCTGTACTGCATGGAACCCGAGTGTGCCTCACCTCTGTTAAGGCTTAACTACTTGCAGTAAAAGAATCAAATCTCATGTTAACTAGCCCTGAGTTTGAAATGGTTAACTCTCTCCCAGTGGGAGAAAATAAAAGTGGTAGAGAGTTATCTCATGTAGACAGATCTATTAGGATAAGGAAGGAACTATCTAGACAAGGTCAAGATATGTTTTTGCAGACCCAAATTCCCAAATTAAATTTAATTCCCAGCATAATAACTGTAATGTTAACGCTCATTGAAAATGAAAATTCCTTCCCTTTAAACTAGGAGTATTCAAGAGTGTAAATGGACCATAGTAGAATAATGTTCTCAGGCAAGGGCATGGATAGGGACAGGGATCTCCCCCGACAGGGGCAGACACCCTCACCCCTGCACACCTCCATCTTCCACTACCTGGAACCAAACCAAACCATATGAACCTCCTCAAACACCAAAGTGTAAACTTTGGCAAGCTACTCACTCCCAACTTCCATCTCTCTGGATTATGTGAGTTTGGGGTCACCAGCTGCTTTTAGGGGATGATAATCTTTGAGGATTACACACTTTTCATCAGACACCTGTTTAGCTCAGCAAATCCTGCTGAAAGGTCTGTATCAGTCGACGGCACTGGGTTTGCAAGCCTGGGAACAGACACGAGGCCAGGGATTTATGGCAGCTTTTGAGCACAGGAAATCTGATGACTCTAACCAAGTTATCTCATGCTTGGAGATGGCAATTCACTGGTTTGTACGCTCATCTGTTCCTGGTTTCTGGTGCAGAGCAGCACTGACCAACTGGATGAATGGCATGTTATCAGTTTAAATAATGACAAATGAACTTGACAGGCTATTTATATCTCCTCGTTTAAATTTTGTGGTGATTTTGCAATTAGTGCAGAAGGATGCTGAACCTTAGTTCTCACATCATTTTAAGAGAACAGCCGTGCTCTAAATGACCTGTGACCTGCCTGATATCTTACTGCTTTCCACTTATTAAAAGATACAGGTGCCTCCTTGGCAAAGACGGAAATTTTGAATTTTTCATATATTTTACTTTTAAGAGATTGGTGTTGAAACAAGTTTAAGACCTCTCTCCCATAAGTCCTATGGGCATGACATAATTATATAAGAACTTGAATAAATGCTGTTTATCAAGATCTCAGTGTGGAGACCTGTGGCATCAACATCACCTGAGAACTTGCTAGAACTTTAAATTCTCAGAACCTATCTCAGACCTGCTGAATCAGGATCTTTGGTGGGGAGAGGCAGAGCCCAGCATCTGTGCTTTCAGAAGTCCCCCAGGTGATTCTGATGTACCCGAGTTTGAAAACCACCACTAGAACCCTGCTCTGAAGCTGCTGGCTTTGATGAGGGTGTGGCCACTTAAGAGACAGTAGGACTGAAGAATCTCAAATAGGTAAGACCTCACTCAGCTCCTTGGATGCAAGATAATTGGAGAATGGACTCGCCAAAGCCCCACCAGACTGAAATTTGGCTAGAGGTCACTGAGTTGCCAAATCGCTTCGTGCAGATGTTCTACACCTCTGCTTCTCAACTTCCATTGTGCAGACAAACTAGTTCTGGTTAACAGCATGGACTCCGGTTCAGTAGGTCAGGGGTGGGGCTTGAGATTCTGCACCTCTAACAACTTCCTGTGCCATGGACCACACTTGAATAGCAATGGTTTATACTTTAAATCGGTAGTTTTCAAATGCTTTGGCCTCAGCACTCAGAGAGCTTTTGCTTTTAAGGGCTCTATCTATTAATTTTACTGAGAAATTTGACAAATATTTATTAATTCATCTAAAAGATAACGATAAACCCATTATGTAACATTTTTTTAAATTAAAAAAAATCCTATACTTTCTAAAATATAAATAAAATTTATAGTGAAAAGAGTGGCATTATTTTACATGTTTTACAAATCTCTTTAACTTCTGGCTTAAGAGAAGCCAGTTAGATTCTCTCTTTCTCTCTTTATTTTGTTCTTTCTTTTTCTTTTTCAAGAAGACAGGGTCTCCCTATGTTGCCCAGGCTGGTCTCAAACTCTCAGGCTCAAGCGATCCTCCCACCTCAGCCTCCCAAAGTGCTGGGATTACAGGCGTGAGCCACTGCACCCAGCTTGCTAGATTTTCATAGATTGCTTTGGTATTGAGTCTGCTGTGATATCACAGGTCATGACATTCTGGAAAACTCCTCTGTATACTCATGAGAAAATGAAAGTAAAAAGGAAAAAGAGTATCTTAGTACTACTTGGAAAATAATTATGACCTTGTAGACTCCCTGAACCATACTTTGAGACCATGTGCACTAAACAAAGATGAGTTTTTTAAAGCTGGGTAACAGGGCACCCGTATTTTAAAACAATATGTCATATATTGCATACAATACGACAGATCGTGAGAGGCTCTATGGGTGGGTGGAAAGCATGGGCTCTGGAGCCAGACTACCCAGAATGGAATCTGGGGTCCACCATGTACCAGCTGTGTGACCTCAGGGATTTTATTTAACCTCTCTGTGCTTCAGATCCCTCATCCATAAGATGTGAATAATAACTGTACCTAACTGTTACAGTTCTGGTAAGGATTGAGTTAATATGAAACATGCAGAACAGTGCTTGACGCATCACAGTAATCCTAATAAGTGTTAGCTATGATTATTATTCAACATACTGAATGAATCAAGTCTCAAGGTGATCATTTGGGTAACTAAACATCCTTAAGGTAGGGGAAAGAAATAAAATTTGGACAGAAGGGAAACAACAGAGACAGACTGCTCTATAGAATCAGATTGAGAAAAGCTAACTTTGTTTTCCTACTTTTGCCTGAGGAACCTAAAAACCATTCCATGAACTCAGACAGAAGCTCTCCTCTCATCCCACCCTTCCTTCCTCTCCCCTCCCCCCAGCTAACCACCCAGATATCAATTGAATTAAAGAAAGAGGCTATGAAAAAAAATTCTGCCTCAGGAGTGGTCTTAAGAAATGGCAACAAAGTTCCCAGCAAACACAGTTCTGTGCCCCCAAATTCCCTTTGGCCCCTTAGTCCTTAACTTCAAGGACTACCCTTAGGAAATGGCTAGCCCATCCAACCACAGAAACAATGACTGCTTAGGGCTTCAGCAGAGCCCAGGGACAGTCCCAAGACAGATGAAAGACTCAAATATTCAACAAGACTCAAGTGTGTCTCTGGGAAAATGGCCTGACCCAGTGAAACCCTGAGCATGGACACAGCATGTCTTTGGGGAAGGAGGCTGGCTGCCCTGGGTCACATACCAGCCTGTTACTCTAAGCCCCACTCTTAGATCTCTCTTCTCTGGGATCCCACAAGTTCCTCAGCAGACCTCCACTGCTGAGCTCTTCCCCAAAGGGCCACTGATTTTTCTTACTGAATGTCCCCATCCTTTCAAGTCCATTCCAGAGTGGAATGGTCTTCCTTCAACTCCCACAGTGGAAGATGTATGGCAGGAGTGTGACTCCCCGATGCCGTGTGGTGTGCCTGTGTCTCTGAGCTGACTGACCATGCTGGGATTTACCAGATGGTTCCATGGTTCTGTGGGTAGGTGTGGACTCCCTTGCGGGGTTGGTCATTCTGCATGTCAGTCCCCCAGGGAAAGGTACAGGTGCTCAGAAAGAAAATGAACTCACAAGTAGGGCATCAGGCAGCACGAAAGGGGACTTCCCTCCCTCTGCACCGCCCCTGTGTTGAGAAGCGTAGACCTCTGTGGATGTGCTCCTGAGCCGGAGGTGCCAGGATAGCACGTGCCACATGGAAGCAGCCTGAGGGCCAGAGACATCTGTGTGAGATGGCATTTATACCTGATTCTCTTACCCAGTGAGAGAATTAATTGCTCCTTTTTCTTTTATTTTTTGGACACGGTCTCACTCTATCACCCAGGCTGGAGTGCAGTGGTGTGATCTTGGTTCACTGCAGCCTCAACTTTCTGGGCTCAAGAAATCCTCCCACCTCAGCCTCCCGAGTAGCTGGGACAACAAGTGCATACCACCATGCTTGGCTAATGTTTGTATTTTTGTAGAGATGGGGTTTCACCATGTTGCCCAGGCTGGTCTCAAACTCCTCGGCTCAAGCAACCCTCCTGCCTCGGCCTCCCAAAGTGCTGGGATTACAGGTGTGAGCCATTGCACCTGGCCTATTGTTCCTTCTTCTGTCTTCAAGTATAGCCCAGTGGTTCTCGACCCTGCCTGCACATCAGACTCACTTGGGGCTTTAAAAAGCCACAGATGTCTGTGTTCCACCCAACCTCATGACTTGCCTGGTTTCAGATATATTATGGGTCCCAGTAAGGAAAGGGCCTTGGGGGACTATACTTGGGCCAGAATATTAAATGGGGTACAGCACCACTTCTTCATTTTTGCCACCTCACAGGGCTATAGTGGTAGCAGTGGTGCCTAATGAGAAATCCCAGCAGCAGGCAAATCTCTGAACTGACGCAGGGGAGGATGGCCACTCCGTAAACAACTGTGTGATACACTTCACAGAGTTTCATTTCATTAAACATTCAACTGAGGAGTATTTGTGAGTGTATGGTGTGTCACCACAACCGAGTTCCTGGTCTAGTGGATTAGAAGAATAAAAATTTTTTAATAAGGTGACTGACTATGATATAGATTCATCCTTCAATTTCCTTGTTAGGAAAATGAGGCACCTGCCACACAGATAAAATGATCATGGAATGAGAGATGTTATACTCTGTCAGTATCATTTATGCCCAAACTAAAATTGGGGAAGGCAAGAATTTTTAAAAATATGTTGATGTAAGAATAGCTTACCAAATTGTTGAAGTAACCAAATTGTTCACGAAGCCCATTGCCTATCACCAAACTAAGTTAATGCTCTGATTTGTGACCCAGAGGCACTTTCAGTTAGGTAATGAGAAAGCCCCAGTGCTATGGCCTTCAGCATGACAGAAATTAGAAAGGCATGCAGAGGAAGGTCTTCCTCTTTGACCTTTTAAGTTTTCCACAGTTCAAACCACTTTTAAATTCTAGGATATTTTAGGAAAAACACATTTATTTTTAAAAATTTAAAGATGAAGTAATTTGGCATTTTAAAATTATTTCCTCTCTTATAAATAGGCAAAAGTCTACATTAGAGATTCATTAAAAAAAGAAATAGTTTTTGAAATAGAAAATAACACAATTGAAATAGAAGACAACTTAATTCTTCAGTTTTCACTAAAAGAAAGCATTTTAAATACCTGGCTCCCCCTAGGCTTGCTCCCCAAGTTGAAACTTGGATAAAATTTTCATGTCTAAGTTACAAAATTCTGGTAACAAGAACTTACCACTGAAAGGCTTTAAGATGGCAAACTTAATCGAACACATATACACTTTAAATAAAGCATCTGCGCCAAACAAATGACTGCATGCACTTAAAATGCTTTACCTTTAAGATTGTTCTCCTGCTGCGAAAACACTGCGATTGAACATTTTCCTTAACTAAATCACTAAATGCAAAAACTGAGACTTCTTTTGCCTACTTTTATAGGTCTGAGGTTCTACTGAGGCAGCTGAGACACTTCATTCTAATATCTAGTCATCTGGTCTGGTCCAACCCCACAGACCGATGGTGGAGGGTGGGAGAGGGGTGCTATTTACATAATCATGGCAGTACCACTGATTTCAGAACCAGGTTTGGGAGACAGGATGGTTGGAATAGCAACTTGCCTTTCCATTTGCTCTCCTACAAGCCCCCTAAAATGCTGTGTGTATATGTGGAAGGGAGTGTTGTGTGTATGTACCAGCTGTAATTTTTAAAAATAGGACAAAGTATGTTGTAATTCCAATTCTGGATGATGAGCTTTCACACAGCAAACAAAAATACACAGCAAGATTGAAGAAAGAAAAAATGAGAATACAAATCTCCTTAGAAATTTTCTTTGTTTTCAAACAAAGTACATTTCAAAAAGGAATCTGTCAGTTTTGGAGATAACTTTCTAAAATCAAAGTACAGCCCATCACCTAATCTGACTGATCAACCACTGTTGGAAATGTAAGAGAAACTGTCGCTAGTTGTCCTCAGGTTATCTAGACAAACAATCCCACTCCACTGGTCTACTTTTCTTTTCGCTTATTTTTTATTTATCTCCCAAATGCTTTGAAACGTGATTTGAGGTAAGAAGCCTCTGGAGATCAATGGTTGTGTCCCCCCAGGGTTATTGCTGAGCCCCCTCTGAAGCTGTGCAGCACAAAGGCACCCTGGGTAGCGGAGCTAGGGTGGGAGGGGGGCCAGACAAGTGACTGGCTGGTTTGCCCATGGACTTGGTGTCATGTAGGGACTTAGCTTTTTTAATTTGAGATGGAGTTTCACTCTTGTTGCCCAGGCTGGAGTGCAATGGCATGATCTCGGCTCATTGCAACCACCATCTCCCGGGTTCAAGTGATTCTCCTGCCTCAGCCTCCCGAGTAGCTGGGATTACAGGCATGCACCACCACGCCTGGGTAATTTTGTATTTTTAGTAGAGATCGGGTTGCTTCATGTTAGGCTGGTCTCGAACTCCTGACCTCAGGTGATCTGCCTGCCCCAGCCTCCCAAAGTGCTGAGATTACAGGCATGAGCCACTGCGCCCGGCCAGGGACTTAGCCTTTAATCTTAGGGAATCTTAAAGTCCAAACTGGCTACAGTAGATGTTAGCTGTTAGAAAAACAAACACATATGCAGTATCGTCACCAGCAGCATTAAAGACAGCAATGACTACCTCTTAGGTTGTAGATGACACATTTCTCTAAGCCCCTGGAATGAACCGCTATTCTGTCCACTGTTTGGCTAAATTTTAGACTTCAGTAACAATACATTAATATTAGCAGAGCTTCACCACAATATACTAATATTATCCCCATGAGACTTTATATTATGTTAATCAAAGAATCTCCATTCCACCTGCAAAGGCTTGAAATGGTTTTGTGCTATGTCCAACAGTTGAGTGCCTACTAGGTACTAGGTACTTTTCTATTTAGGTTGTATACAGACACTCTATTTTCCAAATTTAATGAGAAAAAAAGCTCTGGGAGTTTAATTTGTTAGCTGGTATGCAACTGCTGAACACAAGAACCACAAACTACGTAAATAACAGGAACTCAAATAGACATGTTAACAGCTAAAGTTCATTTTTAAAAAATGAATTCAATATGCTACATTGCAAGGAATCAATCACACTGCAATCATCATTTACAAATCAAAGTACAACACACATACTCATGGGGGTATATACAACTAGGTAGAAGTGTGTGATTATAGACAAGTAGATTGGAAGTGTAAATTATGTAACTGTCTCTTGTAATTACCCTGCTTGAGAACTGAAACAAACTTCCTGTATAAGTTTTGCAGGAGAATGGAGATTGAGATACAGAATTGCTTTTTAGTTGGTTTTAACCCTTCCACAGCTATTTAATTATGTGTGATGAGGTCAAAGAAAGTTTATGCTTAATTTATGAAAAATTGGCAGGGAGGTATTTCAAAGTAAATCCTCTAAAAAGCTTCCAATTATTAATTAAATCTGGTAATTTCTCTTCCTCTTCAAGGAAGATTTATATAAATTATTAGGTAAAATAAACAATGTTTAAAACAAATTCACGGGCATCATTCATTTTATTTCCTCTCTAAAAACATTCATTATGTTCTACAAGTTTTTAACTGGATGCAACTCAAAAGCTACAGGGATGAAAGGCTGTCTTCAGAGCATCTTCTGCTTTGGTAGAGAAAAATCTTATTAATGTCCTTAACTTCATGGAGAAAAGCTCCAACGCTGGGTGAACCCCAGGGCAGGACTCCTAGTCTATGAACAGACAATCACCTTCTTAAGAAGAAGGAAGCCTGTTTTTCTGATAAATAGCAGAGCCTCATTTCAGGACATTTTAAGTCATCGTAGCCTTTTTCTTCCCTTTCTTAAAAATCTAACTTTTAACATCTTTTCTCTAAGTTCTGTTTCTAGTGCCTAAAGATCTACCACAAATTTTAGAACTGCTCAGCAACCTAGGAGGAGGAAAGAGCAATTTTCCTGTACACATCTTACAGTGTCTGCTGGTGCTGTTCTTCCCACAAAAAAAGAAAAATGGGAAAACAGTTCTCATGCTGCAGTGTCTCTTCTTTCTCTCCTCGGGCTCACAGTTAAATATTTTCTCTGTACTCCATCCTCACTCTGCATCACCATTCCTTGTCCGAATCCTCCATTTCATCCTCATTCTGTTAACGCACAACCCTTCAATTATGTTTTTCTAAGTTTAAGAGTGAAAGTGAAATTTACAGGAATGCTGTTCTCTAATGAACTAGACTCAACACTTCAGAGGATTTGATTCAAGTAAATTTCAGTACATTTCCTTCACATAAAAATGGCTCTGCAAAGGCTGACATGGAGTTGATGCCCGTACACTAAATACTTGTGCACTCAAGTTTTCATTTTCAAGCAGTCAAGGTGAAAACTGTGTCTCTCTTTAAAACATGACTAGTAGGATGCCACCAATAAATCGAGTAAGTTTTCAGTTTCAAGAGTTACAAAAACCCAAGCACTAAGATACCATAGGATGTCACCTCCCATTTTAAGATGATTGCTTTCTAAAAAACAAAAATAAAACAGAGATACATAAAATGACAAAAAACAAATACACAGCTTAATGGATTATTATAAGGCAACTGTCCTTGTAACTATCACCCAGGATCAAGAAATAGAAGTTTGCCGGCTACTCCAGAAAACTTTCTATCCGCTCCAGCCAATCACCTCTCCTTTCTCTCTCATAAGTAACCACTATCCTGACTTTCACAATAATCTCTTGCATTTTTTTATACTTTCATCACCAAAACAGTCCAGGCACTAGAACAGTCTTGCCTATTAAAAAAAAAAATCTTAATGTCATTTTAATCTAGGGGTTCCACCTTCACCCCTTTCTTTTCCTTGTAATCTATCTGTGGTTGAACTGGGGCCACTTGACCTATACTGTCCTCACTCTGGATTTTGCTGATCTCCTACTTGCACTGCAGCTCAGTATGCTCCTCTTTACTCTGTATCTCTTGCAAAATGGTAACTAGATCCAGTGCTTGATTGATTAGACTTGGGTTCCATCCACTGGCAAGACTACAAATATCCTTGATCAGAAGATAGATAATTTCTGGTTGTCCTTTTTGCAACTGTTGATGTTGTTCATTGTCTAGATCCATTAATTCATGGTGGTGGTGGGGATTACAAAATGGTTATATTTTAATTCTGTCATTTTCTTTTCTTTTTTTTTTTTTTTTGAGATGGAGTCTCACTCTGTTGCCCAGGCTGGAGTACAGTGGCACGATCTCAGCTCACTGCAACCTCCGCCTCCCGGGTTCAAGGGATGCTCCTGCCTCAGCCTCCCAAGTAGCTGGGACTACAGGTGCATGCCGCAACACCCGGATAATTTTTTGTATTTTAGTAGAGATGGAGTTTCACCATGTTGTCCAGGCTGGTCGTGAACTCCCTGAGCTCAGGCAATCCGCCTGCCTCGGCCTCCCAAAGTGCTGGGATTACAGGTGTGAGCCACCGTACATTTTATTTTCATTGGTTAGCTGGAATATGTTTATAAAAAGATGTTTCTGGCCAGGTGCAGTGGCTCATGCCTGTAATCCTATCACGTTGGGAAGCCAAGGCAGATGGATCGCTTGAGCGCAGGAGTTCAAGACCAGCCTGGACAACATAAAGAGACTACAGAAAATGAAAAAATCAGCTGGGCATGGTGGTGTTTACCTGAAGTCCCAGTTACTCAGGAGGCTGAGGTGGGAGGATCTCTTGAGTCTAGGAGGTGAGGCTGCAGTAAGCTGAGATCGCACCACTGCACTACAGCCTGGGTGATAGAGCAAGACCCTGTCTCAAAAAATTTTTAAAAATTTAAAAAATAAAATGATGTTTCCCCTCCTTTACTACTTGATTACTTCACTGTACAGTTTATGTAAGAAAGGCAGGATAAATGTTTTAATTGCAATTTTTGCAGCTTTCAAGAAAATAAACTGGTTCCTATTATCCTCTAAATCAGTTTGTTTTTTAGTATCATTATGAACTTGTGAATTTAAACATTTGACAAGTTGCAATAAATTGCAATTTTTTATCTTTATTATTATATTTATTGTCTGGTCAGAACCTCTTCAAATTGACTCCTGAGTCTTTTTGACATGACCCTAACAATTTTTGCTTCCTTGCTGTCTAGTATGACAAGGAGGACTTTTGTTTTGTTTACAGAAATAACTCTTCGACTTCATTTAAAATGATGACTGTATTTGCCCCCAAAAAAGGACATATGCAAATTTATTGTGGAGACTGACGTCCGCCTGTATTACATTTTCTCATGATTTCAGCAACACCTTTTCGTACCTTCTGCCGTGTAATTGTGCTGCATATTTATTTCCATGTGGACAAATGGTTCATGTGAAACTGAATTGCTTTTAATCCACCCAACCATTTTTATACACTTTAGAAACATTAATTTAAAACAATTTTGCTGAAAAAAAGCGTTCCTCTATGATGTTAACTCAAAGCAGGACTCCATATAAATAATTACAAAAAAGGTTTTTATATTGGTAAACATGAAAATGTAGCATGAATATTAGAGTACAAACATGCTAACCACAAATCCATGGGGGAGAAAAAAAATCAGATTCCTAACTAGTATTTTCCTAAACAATTCTAAACAAGTTAAGGAAAACCTTTTGTTTTACCCAATATGAAATTATATTTAAAAACAAACAAACAAAAAACCAACAACCAACCAACCAACCAACCAAAAAACTACCTTACAACCAGCTGAAGTTATAGTTGTGTTGTTTAGGGCCAGGCGTGGTGGCTCATGCCTGTAATCCCAGCACTTTGGGAGGCTGAGGTGGGTGGATCGCTTGTATTCAGGAGTTTGAGACCAGCCTGGGCAACATGGCAAAACCCTGTCTCTACTAAAAATACAAAAATTACCCGGGCATGGTGGCACGTGCCTGTGATCCCAGCTACTCAGGAGACTGAGGCAGGAGAACTGCTTGAACCCGGGAGGCAGAGGCTGCAGTGAGCTGAGATCGTGCCACTGCACTTCAGCCTGGGCAACAGAGCAAGACTCGGTCTCAAAAGAAAAAAAAAAAAAGAACAAAAAAACGAAATGCCATCATGAGAGGGGTAAGTGGAAGCAAACTTTTATCTTAGAATATTCTATCTCAAACATAATGTCTCTATTACAAGCTGGAATATATGTTCAAGGGGGAATAGTTCTCTTGAAACCCAAATGAGGTATAGCACTAATTTCAACCAAGCAGAGCAAAATCTTTCTTGATCTTGTTTTAACAACAGCTCAGGGCATAGTGGCTCACACCTGTAATCCCAGTGCCTTGGGAGGCCGAGGCAGGAGCATAACTTGAAGCCAGGAGTTGGAAACCAGCCTGGGCAACAAAGCAAGAGCCTGTCTCTAGCTGACCCCCCACCCCTCCCCCTGAAAAATGGCCAGGAATGGTGGCATGTGCCTGTAATCCCAGCTACTTGGGAGGCTGACATGGGAGGATCACTTTAGCTCAGGAATTCAATGCTGCAGTGAGCTATGATCACGCCACTGTACTCCAGCCTGGGTGACAGAGTGAGACCCAGTCTTTAAAAAGAAAAGCAAGGAAAAATGCGTCTCTTCTATATATCTTAACTGGGTAAATGGAAAATAGAGTTGGAAGCATTTCCTCCTCTGCACTGCCACAGCCTCTCTGAAATTTGAAATTGCAGGACTGGGAAGAATTTTGTGTCTGACCCTCTACTTCCCTATGGGCAAGGACTAAATCATTCATCCTTATGTCCTCATCACCTAGACCATCCCTGGCACAGTGTATTTAAAGCATGTTTGCTGAAGGATGGGATGAAGGGATAAATAAAGTGTAAAAAACAAAGACTGAGAGGAGATCTGAGTTTAAGCACTACTGGTCAAAAGCTAGCTGGATGCATCTGGCAGGTGTTGACAGTCATACAAAGAAGTGGATTAACTAGACTCAGGCATTCATTGATTTCCCCCAACAATCCTTTATTCTGTATCCTCTATGTGCTAGGCACTGTGCTCATGGCTTGGAGTTTAGCAATGACCAAGTTCCTGCCCTCTTGATGGTCCCACTAAGGTTTCATTTTGTTCCAGTTCTGCTGAAGATTAGGTTATTCTCATACCAATTATTTGAATGGAATTTGTCCAGTAGTGGATTTCAAAATAACTCAATGCAAATGCCAGTCAACGTTAGAAATCCAAACAGACAAAAAATTTGTTTGGTAAAAAAAAAAAACCAACCACCTGCATGCCAAAACTTGAAAAAATTCTGAGCTATGTAAGGCAAAACACTAGCTTTCAGAAAAAATGAGAGAGACTGCAGACCGTATGTTTCATATTTACAATGTTTTCATTGAGGCAATGAATACAAACTATTCTATAAGAGCTATTTATTTGCTCTTATTTATGACAAGCTTAGCTTAAAAAAAGATACACAAATAAATCGTTAGCCGCACTGTCTCATGCAACTCATTTCAATGCATTCAGCAACAGTCAACCTCTGAATAAATCACTGAGAGCTCAATTTTCAACCTTGATGTTATCTTTAGCATATTAAAATATATTGTACCTCAGACCAATATAATAAAACAGTAATGGCAGAAGCTTTTAGTGTAACATATTATAATGAGAAAATAAGGAAAAATAGCCATTTTCCTTATTATATTACAGACTAGAATCCTATTAAAATAAATGTCATCATTATACTTGATTACATAGGTCAAAATGTGTCTTCCAAAACCCAGCAAAAGCCCAAGGATATAGCTGCTGGTCCAGTATTTTCCAACAAGTGTCATGGGGGCAAAGGTGGGAGGCTCCTTATCTTAGAAAAGGCTATGAAGTACTTGAGCACCATTTCAAAAGCATAACTTATTATTCTTTAATGATTGCCTTGACTGCACTCACCCAGGAGCGTAGCTGCTGGGAAGGCTAAGCAAAGAGAAGCTTTCTTGACAGCTTCTTATGGCTAAAGCTGGTATTTTCCTTTCAAAAATAAATGCAATCAAGAAATGAATTATCTGATAAGAGAAAAAGTAAGCAAAAGATTTAAGTGTCTCTTCAACCTGCTATGTACAAATGTGGATTATGTCACAGCTCTGCTTTCTCCGCCCAAGGTTTAGAGCAGGCAGTGACATCTTCTTTCTGATGCAACTGAAATGATCTTAAGATAGAGGCTGCATTTCAGCAAAAGTACCAGACCTCGAAAGAAGACAGGGCATACCTAGCATCATTTGGAAGTAAGTAAACCAGTGCTGATGGTTTATGTTCTAATAAAATAAAATTGTCCCTAAGAATCACACACTAGAAGGGAAAGCACATTTTAAAAGTTCTTCCCGTCATAATTAATTTAACATTTGTTCAACAATTAATAAGAACCTACTAAGCGCCAGGCTCTTCTAGAAGATCAGAATGCAGCAAAGAGCAAAGTCCACACTCTCATGAAGCTTACTTTTGGTGAAAGACATGGGCAATCAACAATAAATACAGTCATGCACCACATAATGATGTTTAGGTCAACGATGGACCACATATTCAATGGTAGTCCCATAAGATTATAACAGCATATTTTTACTGTACCTTTTCTATATTTAGATATGTTTAGATACAAAAATACCATTATGTTACAACCACTAACACCTACGGTATCCAGTACAGTAACTGCTGTCCAGGTTGGTCACCTAGGAGCAATCAGCTATGCCACATAGCCTAGGTGTGTAGTAACCTATAGACTTCGACTTAGGTCTGTCTAAGTACATACACTATGATGTTCACACGACAATGAAGTTGCCTAATGGTGCATTTCTCAAAATGAATCTCAGTTTTTAAATGATAAATGACTGTATATAAAAGACCTATGCAAGTTTATAAATGACTCTGCACTTGCTTAGCCTAGTTTGTTGTTGTTTTTTTTTTTTGGTTAGTGCCACTAAAAAGAGAGAGAGAGAGAAAACTAAATAACACAAGTCCCTAAGAGATGCTGTCATGGTCCCTCCAAACACATTTCTGAGGCTTGTTTGTGGGGCCTGTAAGTGGGGAAAGTGGAATATTTACTCTGCAGCCTCCCCCAGACAGACTTTATGATTCAAGTGAGTGCTTCATGATCTCCCTCATCATGTATATGACAGAATTTACACAGCTCCTGAGGCTGCTAGAGGTGAGGTGACAGGCACTGGAGCTCTGGACACCCAGGAGCAAAGGGAGCAATATCTCTGCTACCCATACCCATCCTCAGGTCCTGTCTTGGGAGGCACAGCCCTAAGCTGACCACACGGTGCAGAGACGGCCAGAGACCCTTGCTGGAGAGCACAGTTTCTCACCAGGGCCTTGAGGCTGGGATGCAGCTCCTGAGGGTAAGCCATGTGCCCTGATACTGTGCTCACCCTGCCCTCTGGGAGAAGCCGGTGGCTCCTGCACAGCCCTGGTTCCAGGGGGCGTAATACAGTCAGGTGAAACGGCTTACTGGAATCCAACCAACTGGACTTCTAAATGAAAACTCCTGTTTTCCAGAGGAGATAGGCCAGTGGGTATCAAACATTTATTTCAAGAAGGCAATTTTCAGGTAGGATGAAACCACTTAGTCTCTACTTAAAAACACTCTTAAGTTTCACTTAAATTGTATTTTGAAAAGCTTGTAAGTGGAAGCTCTTTTAAACAAAATAGCCCACTGAAGGCAGACTGTGAAAACTAGTAGTAGCTGGCAACCTGAACTACTATGACACGTACTTCTGTATTTAGCCATCATATAATACAACATTTAAACCAGTAGCTTGCATCTAAGATTCTGGGAAGAAGCAGCTTTCTCTCTGAGAGAGTGGATATGATTAGCCTCCTGACATGATACCCCCCTGGGTAGAAATGAAGTATGTGGCTTTCTTCCTAATTCGCTTTATGGACTTAAAAGGGCAGAGAAGCAGGGAGCAGGAAACCAAAGAGAAGATGCTTTTCTCTTCCAATGCGGTGCTTCCTCAAGAAATCAGCCAAGAACTATTCAGAGGCTAAAGGAGAAACAAGCCCGGGGATCTCTACGGACGTGGGTGGTTGTGGCACCTAAAGAAGAAATCTCTGTCATTAAACCAGAGGAGGAAAGAACGACGGTGCAGAAAACCACACTGATTAATACTCAAGTGAGAAAGGAACTAAGGTACTAAATCATACCCTAAAGCATCTTTCCTCAAAAGTTTATTGTAGTTCCTGCTTTCCTTAAATCCGGTTGGCTGTATATGTGTGTGGGGGGCAGGGGTGGAGGGGAGTATCATTTCTAAAAAAGGGGACATGTAGAAGGACGCTGCAAACCACACTGAAGACAAGAGCCAAATTCATAACCTGGAGGCACAAAACTGGGCCATTTGCACCATCTTCTAGCAGCGCTGATTAATTATAGACTCAGTTTTTAAATAGCACACGGACCTCACAAAAGCTAAGGTGAAACCCTCAACATATGAAGAGCCAGCAAAGGGAATTCCCCGAAGTGAATGCCTAATTCATTCAATCACTTCTGCTTCCTATAGTTACAGCCTTGTTCCATGAAGGACTGCCCAATATTTTAATACTGAATAAAGAAAGCCAAAAATTGAAACTGCTGACACATTTTTATGATTATTCCACAAACATACTAATTTTAGAAATGCCTGAATGTACAATTAACTGATATTTAACTTAACTGACGAACTTGCCATTAATTAATATTAATGGCAAGTTTATCTGGTCTCTAAAAACTATAGACGTAAGTCTGTAGACTTGGATCCAGCTGTCCTTTACCCTTTATAGCGTTAGTTACACGTCCGTCTGCCCCCGATAAAAAAGAAAAAGTTAATCTGAGATTTAGAACCCTTATAGTTCTAGTTAGTAGGTTTAAGTATTTTAGTTAGGAGAGAATGTTGAATTTCATCAAATGCCAGATCAGACTTTGTAATAAACCACCTGCCTGGATGTTGCTTTTTGTTTTCCCCTCGATTTTTTCCATCAGCGCTGCTCTTTCTTTTCCCTACTGATGTACATACACATGCTCCAGGCTCTCCAGCTTAAAAATAAAGACAACTAGGTTCCTGTGTCCCCAGCCCTTGACAGTCAAGCTTTTGTTTTGTTTTGTTTTGCTTTGTTTTAAAAAAAGAAAAAAAAAAAAAGACAGAGTCTTGCTCTGTCGCCCAGGCTGGAGTGCAGTGGGGTGATCTCAGCTCACTGCAACCTCTGCTTCCCAGGTTCAAGTGATTCTCCTATCTCAGCCTCTTGAGTAGCTGGGACTACAGGCACATGCCACCACATCCATATTTTTGTATTTTTAGTAGAAATGGGGTTTCACCATGTTGGCCAGGCTGGTCTTGAACTCCTGACCTCAAGTGGTCCACCTACCTCAGACTCCCAAAGTGCTGGGATTACAGGCGTGAGACGCTACGCCCAACCAAACAGAATAAAACAGTCAAAAGCTTTTTGAATCTACTTTTAATCGCACTTAATATACAGTTGTCCAAAGAATACTTCTTATGACTTTCTCTCTGGGGCACTGAATCTCTGGGGGATGATCTTAGACAAGTCTCTTAGTGTCTCGTCCCAGAAGAGAGATGGTCACAGTAACCTACCCCATAGGGTCTCCGTGAGGACTAAGTGAGTAAATGTGTGTAATTCCGGTAACAGTGCCTGACACATAGCAAGGGCTCTAGAAGTGGCAGCTATGATGATTATTGTGACTGTTACTGTTGAAATACTGACCTCTTCTGGTTTTCCTAACACCATTATCTCCCAATTTTCTTCTGACTTCTGGGCCCTTTGCAAATTTCCTTGGCGAGCTCCTCATTCTTTATTAGTCCCTTAGATGTTAACACTCCAAGCACTCCACCCTCAGCCCTGTTTCCCTATACACTTCCCCCTGGTTGCCCTCACCCACATCCATGGTTTCAGCTACCACCGCATGTCCACGACTCCCAGCTGCTCCCTCTAATGCAGACCCCCTGCTGAGCTCTGGAGTCTGTGCAAAGTGCACGTAGACATCCAAACGCACAGTGAAAGCTACATAAAGCTGCGCTCACTATCTCTCCAAGCTCAGTTATGCATTCAATAAATACCAGTATTTTCTGAGCACCACTCTGCACCAGGCATGCTCCTGCTACGGAACGAACAGGACCTGCCTCTTTTCCATGCATCCTCACTGTCAGGCCTCCATTGACTCTGGCCTCTTTTCTTTTTAGTTACAGCAAAAAGTATAAATAAGAAAATAAAAAGTATCTGTAATTCTAATTCCAGAGGTCATCTAGAAATGTATTTGTTTTGCTTTGCATATTTTTTACATAATTGAGAACATATTACATATATAATTTTGAAAGCCACTTGCTTATCACAAGCATTACAAATTCCCAGATAATTTTTTTTAAGAAACAGGGTCTGGTTCTATTGCCCAGGTTGGAGTGCAGTGGTGCAATCATAGTTCACTGAAGCCTTGACCTCCTGGGATCAAGCCATCCTTAATGGAGGACTCAGCCTCCTGAGTAACTGGAATTACAGTCACAAGCTACCAGGCCCAGCTAATTTCATTTATTTATTTTTGTAGAGATGGGGTCTTACTATGTTGCCCAGGCTGGCCTCGAACTCCTGGGCTCATGTGATCCTCCTGCCTCAGTCTCCCAAAGATTACAGGCATGAGCCACTGCACCTGGTCAGAACATAATTCTCAGCAGCTAATAATATTCCATTATATGGATGTGCCATAACTTTCTCGTGGGAATGGTTCTCTCTTGCCTTTGAAATATCAAGTCTGTTTTAGTTTTTTACCTGTTGTAAATAATGAGTGTGAAGGACAAATATACCAAAACATTAACTCTCTGGGTGACATTTTCTTCTATTAATTACACCTTTTTTTTTAACTTTCTACTATGAGTCCATATTGCTATAATCAGGGGCTGGGGGAGGGAGGCAAAAAGAGAAGTCCACTATTTAAAACATAATAATATGAAACAAAATAATGTTGCTATATTAACTATGAAAATAATGTTTGTTGATTAAAATATGCTGATTTCCCTAGAATGAATTCCTTTAGAAAATAACCATTGGAGGCTGGGCACGGTGGCTCACACCTGAATCCCACACTTGGGAGGCCAAGGCAGGAGAAATGCTTGAGCTCCATAATTTGAGACCAGCCTGGGCAACATAGCAAGACCCTGTCTCTATTTTTTGTTTTATGTATTACTTTTTGAGATGGAGTCTCACTCTGTCACCTGGTTGGAGTGCAATGGCACAATCTCAGCTCACTGCAACCTCCGCCGCTCAGGTTCAAGTGATTCTCCTGCCTTAGCCTCCCGAGTAGCTGGGATTACAGGCACCCATCACCACGCCCGGCTATTTTCTGTATTTTTAGTAGAGACAGGGTTTCGTCATGTTGGCCAGGCTGGTCTCGAACTCCTGACCTCAGGTGATCTGCTTGCCTTGGCTTCCCAAAGTGCTGGGATTACAGGCGTGAGCCACTGTCCCCAGCCTAGTTTTTAAATACATAAAATTTTATTAAAAAAAAAAACCATTAGATGTTTTTGATACACACTGTCAAAGTTCCAGAAAATGCCTACCAATATACACTTTCTTCAGTGTAAATAAGGTGTCCATTTTCCACCAGCTTAGTTAGATTTGGGTAAGTTGTAAACTCTTTGTTAGTGTGGTAGGCAAAAAATTGTAATCTTGCAGTTACTAAATTTGCATTTTTAAACCACCAACAATTTTTTTTTCATATTTGAATTAGCCATTATACCTAAGAGACTTCGGAGTGGAGTGGCTAACAGTTAAAGTGCTTGGGTTCAATTTGCAGCTGTGCAACTTATTTGTGTAACTGTGCCTCAATTTCAACACCCATAGAATGGGGCTAAAAGCACATATCTCAACTGTTGCCGTGAGGACTGAATGAATCAATCAATAAATGCAGGACTCTTAGGAAAGGGGTTGGCACATGTTACTCACTCAGTAAATGTCAGCAATGTCGTGGCCACCAGTGATTTTCCTTTTCTGTACATTCTGTGTTCCTGTCCTCTGCCTATTTGTTTATGTATTTATTGAGAGACGAGAGAAGGAGGGGAATGGGGGGGTGGGGAGAACAGGGGGAGAGAGAGAGAGAGAAAGAGAGAGAGATGGTCTCCTTGTGTTGCCCAGGCTGGTGTTGAACTCCTGGGCTCAAGTGAGTCTCCTGTCTCGGCCTGCCAGAGTGCTGGGATTACAGGTATGAGCCACCATAGCTGATCCTCTGCCCATTTCTCTATTAGGGTTTTTGTTTTAATGCTACCAAACTTAAAAGTATATATATATTTATTTAAACACTATAGATATTAAACTTTGCCTAGCACATATGTTGTAAACATCAAACATCTTTCTCATTATGTTTGCTTTAAATATTAATACTTTTTACTAGATAGAAGTTCTATATTTTTATATAGTCAAGTCTATCTGCATATTCTTTCATTGCTTTGATGGTTATGATGTCCTTGACCATCCAAAGATCAGATAAATAATTATACATAATCTCTCCTCTAGCTTTTTTTTTTTTTTTTTTTTTGAGACCGAGTCTCGCTCTGTCGCCCAGGCTGGAGTGCAGTGGTGCGATCTCAGCTCACTGCAAGCTCCGCCTCCCAGGTTCAAGTGATTCTCCTGCCTCAGCCTCCCGAGTAGCTGGGACTACAGGTGTGTGCCACCACACCCAGCTAATTTTTGCATTTTTAGTAGAGACGGGGTTTCACCATGTTAGCCAGGATGGTCTCGATCTCCTGACCTCGTGATCTGCCTGCCTCGGCCTCCCACAGTGCTGGGATTACAGGCGTGAGCCACCGCACCCCACCTCTCCTCTAGCTTTTTAAGTGTTTCTGTGTGTCTGTTTTTTGGTAATCAAGTCTTTAATCTACCTGGAGTTTCTGCTGTAGTTACCCAGGTATGTAACATGCTTCCTCACGCAGTCATGCTTGTGAATATGCTGCTCCCCTCTGCCTAGAATGTTTTCATTTCAACTTCTTATGAGCTCTCAAGGCATACTGTCCAAAATACTATGCAACATTTGTTGATTTGTCAGTGAACTTGACAGCCCAGCAAGAGCTATGTCTTCTTCCCTTTTGGTTGCTGATGTTTAGCAGAATGTAGAGTGTGGTATCCCAATCAATAAGGTTAAAGTAAAGAGGTAAAAAATGAAGGACATGACTCTTCGCATCTTCCTTTATCCTCCAGTTTGGCATCAGATAAATGCATATACACAAACACACATGTGAGTGATGGTGCCACCTCCCTCACCACCATCTGGCACTTGGTTCTCTCACCTACTGCTGAATCAGTTGGTGTTCCCTCGGTCTCTCCTGGGTCAGAGCCCAGGAGAACGGGTTTTGTATCCTGCCCATCAGCCAGGGTTCTGGCTCTGCAGGCCCGAGTAAAAGACAATTCATTATCTGCTCACTTATTACCTAGCCAAACAGAGTCCTAACAACTGAAAGGATATCTAATATACAATAACTGCTACCTAAGTATCTATCAGTCAAAATATGCCCAAGATTACTCATGACACTACTTTTTAAACTGCAAAATATTGGAAACAACCTATAAACCCATACATAGGAAAGCAGGTAAGCAAACTGTATACATGCATGCAACGGAGTAGAGTGCAGCTGTCAAAGAAAAGAAATCTCTATGAAGTCATTTCCAGGATATACTGGAAAAATCAAAATGCAAAAGACTACCTATAGTATGCTACATTTTGTGTTAGAAAGGAGGAGAAATTAGAAAAATGCACATCTATCTGCTCATTTGTACACAAAGAAACAGGAAGGATAAACTACAAGCTAATGAGATTGGAGACCTGCAGGAAAGGATGAGGGAATGGGAATGGGTAGAGAGGGCACATTCACTGAGAATACCCTTTAATACAGTTTCCATTTTTAAAATCATGTTAATGTTTTACATTCTAATTTAAAAAGGTAACAAGTATAAAATAAAAAACAAACAGAAACAAATAAGCCTAATTGTATTCCAATGAATACTACAGTAACACTGAAGGGGGAGAAAAACTAACTCTAGTAACATTTAAACACAGTGTTTTGACTAAATACACTTGGGGTAAAGCCAAAAGGAACCATATATAAATATTGACCTCCACTTAAGAGGTTTGTTTTTCACAATGGCATGAGTTAGTAATTCTGAAACTACTTACTGTGTATTCTAGGGTGTAGCACATAAGTATATTGTGGGTAATGGAAGTCAGGGTTCTCACTGTCAGAGAAAGGAATTACATGGGAAGAGGGAAAGACAGAATACAACCGTATGGTGGCGCAGATCTGGAATGGTCTGAACTCATGAAGGGAGTGTGTGTGTACACGCATATGTGTTTATAACACCCATATGTATATGTGCACATACATGGATATAAATATGCATGCTATCCTAGCTCTGTCCTCTGAGAGGGCTAGAAGCAGTGACACCCAAGCAGCAATGGGCACATTTAAGTGATCAGAACTTGGTTTCCTCCATTTTTTTTTTTTTTTTTAACAGATGAAGTCTTGCTTTTTCACCCAGACTGGAGTGCAGTGGTGCAATCTCAGCTCGGTGCAATCTCAGCTCACTGCAACCTCCACCTCCCGGGTTCAAGCAATTCTCTGCCTCAGCCTCCCAAGTAGCTGGGACTACAGGCGCCTGCCACCAAGCCCGGCTCATTTTTGTGTTTTTTTTTTGTAGAGACAGGGTTTCACCGTGTTGGCCAGGCTGGTCTTGAACTCCTGGCCTCAAGAGATCCGCCTGTCTCGGCCTCCCAAAGTGCTGGGATTACAGGCATGAGCCACCTCACCCAGCCCAGATCCTGGTTCCTAACTACTGTTCTCCACCATAAGGAACCAAGGCTTGGGAGAAATGGATGATTCCAGGGCTGGCTTAAGAAAAGGATAAGCTAAACCTGGAACATCATGCTGTGGCAGAAAGGAAGGAAGAATCCACAGGATGGAAGCATGTGGAAAAGGCACAAGAACCCACTTGAAACATTTGCTGATAAATAAATCTGGGACAATTTGATGTTTGGGGAACATCAAAATCAATCATGGTAATGACAGGTTATAACCTATAGAATAAAATTAAAACCCACAATTATACAAAAAAATTAAATAAATGGGGAAGAAGAAATAATTCTTCCTTCTAGAATGCCAATTAGTAAGTTGTAGAAAGAATGGAATTAGAAAATTACCATTTGGTAATTATCATAGTAATAATTATTTTAGATAAGAGCCATAAGTGAATGGTAAAACTAGGAGGTGAAAATTGGATGAGAATTGATATTTATATAATCCCAAAGTATCTTCTCACCAGATGCTTACTGATTACAAAGCGAAAAATGGTAATTTCACAGTGAAGAAGCCTGGCAGTTACCACCTTAACCCAGTGATGAGACAAATGTATTATCATATGATCCTGATGAAATGCACTGGGAAGGACATACGGTCACTTCTATGGTATTCCTGCCAAAAAATGTACAGCCTAAATCTAATCATGAGGAAACATCAGATAAGCCCAAATTGAGGCACACCATACAAAATAAATGGCCTGTATGCTTAAAAAATATCAAAATCATGGAAAACACGAAGCAAAGCAAAACAAAACAAAAAAGCAGGTACTATTCCAGATTAAAGGAGGCCCCAGGGACATAATTACATACTCCATGTGATCCTGGAGTAGGAGATTTTTCTTTTCCTCCAGAAAGAACATCAGTATAATCTCGCAAAATTTAAAATTTGAACAAATGTGCATAAATTACTTTAATATCTTGATTTTAATAATTTGTATTGTGGCTATATATGAGAGCATCTTTGTAGAAAAACTGCAATATTTAGGGGTAAAGGTGCAACACATCTTCAACTTACTCTCAAATGATTCTGAAAAGAAAATATGAGAGAGAAGAGAAACAAAGGGAGAGATTGAGAATAATAGAGCAGAAAACAGATGTGATAAAATGTGAACATGTGCAACAATGTACGGGAAATTTTGGTATTATTCTTAGAGCTTTTCTCTAAGTCTGAAATTATTTCAAAATTAAAGAAAAAAATAGTGAGATGGATAAGGCATTGCTGGGCAGCCCCAGCAGCAGAAGCAGTCCAGGGCTTGGGAGGGAGCACTCTGGGCCCCCAGTGCTCAGCAGTGGCTGGGAGAAGAAGAGCTCCTTGCCTTGACGGTGTGAGGCTCTGAAGTAGGAACTGCAAATGTTTTGTGGGCAAGGGAGTTCTCTGAAGTTCTGAGATGTCTGGTGGGGACGGAGGGAGAGAGAGATAGAAAGACTTTACAGACAGAGATGGGGAAGACTTTCAAATTTTCTGACTGAGAAAGGGAATCCTAGAATCCAAGAGGAAGGAATGCGTTCTCAACCAATCCACGATAGTCACTCTCTCCTCCACCCATTCCAATTGTGGGCAAAGAGTCATAAAACCCACTAGGGAGTTTATAACCAGATTGGGAGTTGGTGCCCTTTACTCACTCTGGCCAAACTCTGCAAATGGCCTCCTGGGGAGCCTTGCTCTGACAAATCCCAGAGAAGCTGGTCTAGGAAGTGATATACAAATGACTTACTCTGCAAGCAGCACATGGTCCCATGGATGACCATTCCACCTCACTCTGCTGCCCTGAAGAACAGTGTTCAAAGCCCTGCATTTGCAGTTCTTTATACAGACAGTCCTTGGCTTACAACTGGTTCAACTTACAACTTACAACTTGGTTCAACTTTACTATGGTATGATCAGTAAAAACCATACTTGATCGTTTCCTGGGCTAGCGATATGTGGTACAACACTCTTACATGAGATATTCAACACTTTATTATAGAATTGGCTTTGTGTTGGATGATTCTGCCCAACTGTAGGGTAATGTAAGTGTTCTGAGCACATTTAAAGTCCAGGCTAAGCTATGATGGTTGGTAGATTAGGTGTATTAAATGTATTTTTAATTTATGATATTTTCACTTTATGATGGGTTTATCAGCCCACAGCCCCACTGTAAGTCTAGGAGCATGTATATACACACAGTGCATCACATTCCACCCATGTCTGTGATCAAGTGTGCAAGTGGGCGGCTATATCTTTCTCCCTGCTCGTATCGTGTTTCAGCTTACTAAACTGGCAATTATAAAGATCTACCTGATTTACAACCTCATTTGACTTACTGAAAATACATCCCTGACCAAAAGGCCCCAGGCTCATTTACCAAATAGAAATAAAATAAATTTAACCATTAAAAAGTCCTTTAAAAAACCAGAGCAGATTTTAGAAAACCTGTAACCCTAGTTAGCTTTCTATCCTGGGCTCCAAATTATGAGATCAAAAATGATCATGAGAGGTCATGTGACTCATCCCTACCTTCAAAGGCTGGATTTCAATCATTTTGGAAAGATATTTATCTACTATTACTTTAAGTAACTTCCAAGAGAAGGTGCTATTAATTTCTTCAGCAGCCTACTCTATCTTCCTTAAAACTTTTATAGCCAAGAAATTCTTTTGGTTTTAAACTGAATTTCTATTGGGTTTACACCAGTTCCCATTTTCTTTGAGTGCTATAAAATTCTTCCCCTAGTTTCCCCTTCTCTGAGGGAATAACACCAGTCTCTTCAACTTTATTCAAATCTTTCACTGCACTTCTTAACTCACTCCAGTAGGGGCAATGCTAGGTGTACAGGAAAGAGAAAAGAAAAAAACCACACCCTCAGCACTACTTTGCCTGCTCACATCCTGGTGGACAGCATTCATCATGGTGGCCTGGAGCCACTGAGAAAAGGTTTCAATGTGTTCTGTAGTTTAATAATACAAGGTAGTTTCTAGTAACAGTTTTCACTAAAATGGTTAAAAAAAAGACATAGCATTTGAAGATAATGTATTTGTTACCCAGATTGTTCTCTTATGTAGAAGGCCTTAGTGCCAGATCATGCTGTACAAATAAGATACTACTGAATTTAGAGCTTGAACTTTTACCTAGTAAGTACCAGTTCCTTTTTAATTTTAGGTAGACAATGATTGTGGACAGCAACCATATATCAATTTGGAAATTTAGTTTATATCAATAAAATTTAATTTATATCATCTAATACATATTATTATAAAGGAAACTGTCCTAGTGGATACAGAGAAGTTGGAAGTATGAAACCTCCATCAATAATTATCATAAAAGGGTGAACAGAGTGTAAGTGTGATACCATATAGAATATGGTATAAGATAAAATAAAGGTATGAGATAAAATTCCAGGAGGTGGGATCAAAAAGCAGAGATTCTTGAGCTGGCTCTTAACAATGGGCAGGATTTTGAACAGACGGAGTCTAGGAAAGGACGAGGTGATCATTTCAAGGAAGGGACTGAATAGACAAAAAAATAGAGGTATAGGACCATGCTCAGACTATTTGAGAAAAAGGAGATTAGTAGATGAAAAAGCCTAAAGGACAGGCTGGAACTAGATGTTGGAAGACGTTAAATATTGAGCTAAGGAGTTTGCCTTATTCTGTAGGCATATAGATATGACCAAACATTTAAGGCTTGAATGGCTGCTATGCATACCAGAAACTATATTTATGAACTACTTATGAATGGTAGCCACACAAAACTAGAGAACAAGATAAATGGTTTTGCCCTCAGAAATGATTACAGCTAGGACTCTATAAAAATAAAAATGGTACACTGCATTTGGTAAGGTGGCCCTCCTTGGGATTACTGGTTTCATGGATAATTAGGTCAGGAAAGTATAGATAAGACTAGGGTAATTAATAAATAACTAAAAATATTATCTAAAAAGAGAAAAATAATCAAAATTCTTCTTTTAAAAGAATCATATTCTTCAATGTCAATAAATCATATAAATCAGTCCAAAACTGCTATTCAGTTATTTTACACTTTAATCAGACCTTAATCTTTTAATACCTAACAATATAGATTTAGATTCACTATATTTCTTCATGGTTTTCTGTAAGCGCATTTACATTGTGGTTTTTGCATCTGATGTAGCTGATGAAGATTGTGCAAAGTCCTAAATTTTCCTCCTTTCAGTTAATAATCAGATAAACTGCAATCTGGTAATCAAGAAGCACCTGGTTCCTAGCGACAGACTTTTTTTTTTTTTTTTTTTTTTTTTTTTTTTTTGAGACAGAGTCTCTCACTCTGTCACCCAGGCTGGAGTGCAGTGGCACCATCTCGGCTCACTGCAACCTCCACCTCCCGGGTTCAAGTGATTCTCCTGCCTCAGCCTCCCTAGTAGCTGGGAGTACAGGTGTGTGCCACCACATCCAGCTAATTTTTGTATTTTTTAGTAGAGATGGGGTTCACCATGTTGGCCAGGATGGTCTCGATCTCTTGATCTTGTGACCCACCTGCCTTGGCCTCCCAAAGTGCTGGGATTACAGGCATAAGCCACCACGCCCGGCCAGTGACAGATTTTTACATGACGAGAAATGACTATTATCATGGGTTATCTGGTCATCATGTTATCTAGATATTTTGAATTGATTCTCCAAATGTACCCCTAACACAACATTTACACATCCAGTATAATATAAACAAGGAGGAAAAAAAAAACTACCATTTTTAAAAACATTATCCATGTGCATACTTTTATATATTATGCCGGTTTTAACTGAGAAGGTTCAGAAGATATGAGTGCATATAAGATAAATATTTCTTGGGAAACCTCTAGATACAAACACTGTATTAATTTCCATAATAGAAAAGGGAAATTAACAAAATAAGGTAAGAGTTATTTCTACTAGCAAGGCCCAGGATAAGCTGCCTAGAAAATTATTTTTCTAAATGGAAATATACCTTTTCTGCTTTGTACTGTACAAGATTATAGGCAAAATTTCAGAGAGCTGAAAATCCTTTCAAATAATACTTCCTTTAGCTTTAATCACAAATAATTGCCTCTTTTGGTGCTAATGAGCATGAGCACCACAAAATGGAATGTAATTCTGTCGGTTCATTCAGGGTAATGGCTTTGTGCATGAGGCCTGCTGCCGAGAGATCTAGTCTCAATTTCCTAGAGTACAATCACTGAGCAGCAGTACATTTTTCACTTGAGGAAGATGTTCTAACCTATGTAAATATAAATAGAAAGCCCATTATCTATTGATAAAAACAACAATGCAGGTTAAATAAAGTTTTATATTTTACTGTTTCCTGTAACGGCCATCAGCTTCCTGGATCATGAAAGTAAATAAAGTACTTCACTTACTGAAATCAATGAGAAACCGTCCAAATCCTTGCCTTTGGTGCTGGGGCATGATCATTATGCAGGAGACATTATACTTCTGCTGGCAAAGCTTTTCCTGAGGGAAGGAGAAACAGATCAAGTATGTCAGAGCCCTGCTGAAGTGGGCAATTCCCTGCACCTGCCACTGTCCTTGTAAAACTGTCCACTAAAGAAAGCCAATGGGTTAGGTCAGGATCAAGCAGAAAAATCCTACTATATTAATCAATCAAACTATCAATTAACAACAAACCATCGACTCTGACATGCCTCTCAACTACATCTTTATTCTTGAAAGTCAGTGCCATAAAATATGCATAAAGAATCCAAGGAAATATATGAACCAAATAAAACAGAATATAGACAGCATAAAAGAAATGCTTTCCTTGCTCAAATAACTTCAGAGATAGAGAAAATAACATCCCAGGGAGTCACCCAGTGGAGTAAGTTAGGATTTAGCTGGCTATCTTGCTAAATATAATAATAATCTACAACTCTGCAACAGCAATCTGTCTTCTGCCTTTGGGCAAATGTCCCAGTGAAACTAAAACAGTATCTGTGTGGGTAGATGTGCACACATATATTTCTCCTATGAATAAAAAGTCAATGTAAAAAGCTAGAGAAATAATCTGCATTTCAAACCAGGAAAACAAAATAAAATGAAACAAAAAGACAACAACAAGAAACCCTAAAGCCTCCAAACAAAGGTTAGACCAAAATATTACGAACAGTTTGAAACCAGGAGGAAGACTGGGTAGAACATGGTAAGAAACAGCTCTTACAGTTAAAGAAGAATTTGCAACTTTCATGGGATGTGGCATCAGGGCAGTATTTTTTTATTCAGAGTACAAAGAAGTTGCCAAAACCTACACAGAGATCTGGAAAAGGCTTTTGAGGTCGTGGATGCTCTGGCCAAATATAAACCACAAATAAGACTGACCACAAATGGTACAGACCACACCAAAGAATTACTTCAGAACACCCAGATCTTTAATGAACCAATTTGAAAGATCACAGGAGATGGTTGTGGAAAAAACCCTACAGGGCAGAATTGAAGATTTCTTTGTGAAAAAGATGTACTCCCAACTTTTGCACATTTGTAGTTGTCTATGGAGCCTCTAAAAAATGAGGATGAAGCAATGTGTGTCAGTTTTTCTAAGAAGATGAATTGTCCCTCACTGGATGTGCACATCAATGGCAAAGGTTCAAGTAATTCGTCTGTTTTGCAAAGTTAGACAAATGGGTCACTCTCTCTAAAAAGAAATGTACTCTGGGTTAAGAGAATTCATCCTTGATACCATTCCTTGCTTTGTCCAGAACCATTTCCACCTTTCGGAGTTTTTTGAGATCCAACATAGTAGTGATCCTTCTTCCCCTCCGTGCAGCTTAACATGTTACTACAGCTAAATTCTAAGCTATGAATAAAATAACTAATCCTTCTTTCCTTTCTGTTTACAGCCATCTATTATGTGCTTGGAAAGTCATATGCATGTAACAATTTGCACTGAACCTTTCCAGGTCATTCCAGCCCTTCTCTGGCTATCCTTGAACTGTAGTTCTAATAACCTCTAGAATGTGGTTCAAGAATAGCCCCAAAGGGCCAGAGTCCTCTAGATTCCAGCTGACACATGAGAATATGGTTTAGTTTCATCTAGTCTTTTTTTTTTTGAGATGGAGTCTTGCTGTTGCCAGGCTGGAGTGCAGTGGTGCAATCTCAGCTCACTGCAACCTCCGCCTCCTGGGTTCAAGGGATTCTCCTGTCTCGGCCTCCAGAGTAGCTGGGATTACAGGGTGCCACAATGCCCAGCTAATTTTTGTATTCTTAGTACAGACGGGGTTTCACCATGTTGGCCAGGATGGTCTCTCGATCTCTTGACCTCATGATCTGCCCACCTCGGCCTCCCAAAGTGCTGGGATTACAGGCGTGAGCCACCGCACCCGGCCTCATCTAGTCTTTTAACATGCTTATTTTTTAGATTAATTTTTGTTTCACTATACTGCCAAGGCATATTAGTATTCCAGAATAGTAGGAAATAACAGCAGCTGCTGCCATGCTATAGAAGAAACTATGAGAAAAGTTGAGCTAGTTCTGAGTAAAATTTTGGGTACCCTGGCAGGAAGAGAGGCAGAAATTCAAACTTCAAGAATCACCACCAACTCTACACATGGCTGCTACTCAGCAGCCAACACAAGACCCAGGAGTGGGATGGTCAGTGCAGCACGAGGAAGGTGGGCACCGTTAAGCCTATGTTTAAATCCACAGACAATGAAAGAAACACCATTTTCTAACAGCAAGGACGCAACCACTATTCTTTTTAAGTTTCTGGAGAAGAATGATCTTGACAAACCTACATAAAAGGTAAGGTGTTTTATTTATTAATCATATAGATTTCCTATTTATTGTTTTATTCAGTGTTAATTCTCTATCATCTTTTGAATTTGTAATGTGCAAATTAACTTTCTTCTTTTTCATTTTAAAGCTTTACCAAATATGTGGATTAAAACACTGAGACAGTTTTCCATGAATGCTGTTACTTATTTTTGTTTATGATCTTTGGGTTGATTCTTAAATTTAGGATAGCTATAGTTTGCAAGTACCTTCACATATATTCTATCTTTTGAAACTTCATTAAAATGGCACTTCTATAAAGCATCCCATTTACATTGTGCAAGAGCAGATTCATTAAAATTCATGTATCACCTAATATAAAAAAATATCATAAATAAGAGAGTTTGGACCTTCTATCTAAAAGTCTCATAATTATTGTCTCTATTTATGTACCATCCTGGTACATTTAACTATTTCCTAGGTACCTCAGAAAAGTTAAGGTCATTACCTGGTAAACATCTCCAAACTCAGTTTTCCTTTATTGCAAAGGAGTTATTGTTTCTTAGAAGCCTTTGAGCAGAAGAATGTGAGTGAACTGCTCTGAACCAGTAAAAAGGACAAGCTATATCCGTCCCCTCAATATGTCGATTGTTTTCCCCACTCTAACAGCCAGAGATACTTAGGCTTTCTTTGTTCTTGTTTTGTTTTGTTTTGTTTTGTTTTTGAGATGGAGTCTCCCTCTGTTGCCAGGCTGGAGTGCAGTGGCGCGATCTCGGCTCACTGCAACCTCCACCTCCCAGGTTCAAGCAATTCTCCTGCCTCAGCCTCCCAAGTAGCTGGGACTACAGGCGTGCACCACCAGGCCCAGCTAATTTCTTGCATTTTTAGTAGAGATGGGGTTTCACCATGTTGGCCAGGATGGTCTCTATCTCTCGACCTCATGATCCGCCCACCCCGGCCTCCCAAAGTCCTGGGATTACACGCGTAAGCCACTGAGCCCGGCTGATACTTAGGCTTTCTAAAGGTGAGATTGCTTTAGAACTTAAAACCATAGCACAGAGAATAAGAGACAAAAGTGTAAAACCAGTCATTTTATCAGCTTGACTGTCCAAATGCCAGCGTCCTAACTCACTGAGATACTGTTGACCACAGAGGGAAGGCAACAAGGAGAAAGGAGAATTCTCTCTTAAATGCTACACTAAACTGAAACCTTCATGTTGACACCACTTAAAGGGAAAACGGAAATAAGCTAAACACTGAGAAAATCAAAGACGCTAAGTGGTCCACAAGGCAGCAATTAGAGTGTCATCAAGGCGGCACACAGTGCTGAGGTCCTTTACACACTTACTAGGCACCATGTTTTTTGTTTTCATCTTTTAAAATGAGCTCTGAACAAGAACCTGAGCTTTTCAAAAACACATGTCACTTATTCAAATTATAGTAATGAAAAAGCCCTGTTCAAAGAATTGGGCTCTACCAAAAACATTTTGAAAAAGAAAATGAAGGTCATGCTGGCTCTTGTTTTACCTTAGAGAAGTATCCAACCAGATGACAGCCCTTTTCATCATTTTTTGTAAGGACATAAAAAAGGAATGGCTCGACATCATAATACAACGTTTTGTGGTCCAGGAAGAGCTTGGCTAACAAGCAAAGGTTTTGGCAATAAATTTTGCTCATATTCCCATCAACCTAGCAAAAAGAAACAGACAACATTATTTAACATAAAAATACTGCACCATATAAAATTGTTTCTTCTATATGGTATTTCAGAAAGTACATCATTTTATTTCCAAATCCTAAACTGAGAGATTAAAACACTCTATTAAGCAAGTACAGCTTTAACCAGAAAACAGCTGTCACTGGCAAATCAGAATTCCACATTTTCTCTTAAATTAGGGTACATTTAAGGTAGTTAAAATTTCTCTTTAAGCTACCAAAGAAGGGCCAAACCACTAGTAAAGGAGTAATTTTTACTTGTAATTTATTCTGAGCTAAAAATGATCAGGCATGTCCTCTCTATCTGAACCGAATAAATCTGTATTAAGGAAATATAAACAGATCAAAATACTTCTCAAGTAAGTTAAACTTTATGTTGTTTCAAAAGGGTTTCACATAAAACTAAAATAAATGAACTGTATTATTCTGATTCCTCAGAAGTGTGGATTAGCAAAGAGGTTTCCATTTTGGTTTTATCCCAAGCATCATCTTAAATATAATTGGAAAAGATAAAATATCTATGTTGGGAATACTTACAGAGAAAGTGATATGAATTTCAACCTACAATAAGCACTATGATTACAGTCTACTTCTCTTCAAAATAAAAGAATCAAGCTGTGATACTGATGGCTATAGACAGGAGGCTAGGCACAGATGCCAATTTCTTTGATCAAATGTAGTTACTCTTTGAAAATAGAAAACACAGCAGATTCAAGAAGAATTTCCCTAGCACTTTTCTTAAGGGAAATGGATATTTGCTAACCAGAGCTCTGAAACAATGAACTTGACCATTCTCAGGTCTCCTGTGGACCATACGGGTTCTCATCTTGCACAAATTATTTTTAGATTTCATATAACTATTTCCCTCGGATGGAACCTAGGTCCCATACATAGCAACACAATCAAATATGGGCAATGGGCACAGAGGATACAATTCTCCCTTTAATTAAAGGAAGTTTACATGTATTTGAGAGTATGGCCCTTTTGGAAATGGTAGTATATTACAAAAAGGAAAGATGGAGATATACATAACTGTGAACCAGAAAAATACAGAGATGACAGTGCTGAAGAAAATTCTGATTGGTTGTGAAAAGTGTAAGAGGAATAAAGAAAGGGAAGGCCAGAAAATCGTAATGTGTGATTATTCCTCCTTTATTTTATAAGTTTTGTAAGAAACTGCTAGGAGAAAAGTTGCCCAAATGTTATACTCTATTAACTCAGATTCTAGAATAGGGACCTCGGTACTTATCAAATCCAACTCCTTATTCGTATAAGTGAATTTTACATACATGCTTCTGATGTCTCCCCTCTCATCTCTGGATGGTCCAAAAGCACCTGCCCTGAAAGAACAGCCCATTCTTACCATCCTAACAAGACTGATTCCCTTGCCCATGAGAAGACGTTCCATGGATTTATGAGAGCTTCAATCCCAGTGCTGACTCATGCTGATTTATGAAATAATTACTTAAGGCCAACAATGTGTTTTGAGCTTTGAGAAACAATGTTTTGGTTGGAAGAAAAGATCTAAGGCATCAAGGAAGGAGCCAATAGGAAAGCTGAACTTGTGACATTAGCTAAGCTTCAACTGTGAGCAGCTCTGTCACCTCAGCTGGCTGGGGCTGGCAGGATAGCATACCAACAGGAAGGTCAGGCAACGTGCATTCAGCCTTCCTTCTAGCCCACTGGTTCTTACTGGGGGTGATTCTGCGCCCCCAGGGGATGTTTGGCTACGTCTGGAGACATTTTTGGTTGGCACAACTGGAAGGGGTGGTGGTGCTACTGGCATCCAATTAGCAGAGGCCAGAGATGCTGCTAAACATCCTACGCTGTATAGCATAGCCCCTACAACAAAGAACTAACCAGCTTGAAATGTCAAAAGTGCCTAGCTTTTAGTAAGAACTAATATATCACCTAATCTTCCCAGCAACAATACCCTTCTTCCTCCAAGCTTACCGAAAGAGCTGATAGAAAAAGAGAAAGCTTTAAAAAAATCATAAGACACAACTGGAGTTTCCCATGTTCTCTGATCAGTCTTGGGGAAAAACTAGTGGGCCCAGACCTGTCTGAGAAGGAGCCTGGTCCATGTGAGAAACCTACAACCTTCCCTTTATTTAATAGGATGGCAAGACACTGCAGGCCAGAAATAAAGAGAACTGTAAGGCAGAATAATAAGTTTCAGCCTGAACAATTCAGAAAAAGAAAATCCAGAAGTGAAACTATATTCCAGAGAAAGAGGACATCACGTTTGCTGTACAAGGTAGGCTTGTTTCAAGCACCTAGGAATGAGCACCAATGCACACCACAATGGGTCACAGAGGAGAAAATGCAGCAGACAACAGAAGTGTGCAAGTGGAGGGAAGAGCATAAAGGAGAAACGTGAAAAGCCCTGCAGACAGACAGTAACCTGTGAGAAAGGCATGGTCTCCTCAAGGTGAAACTGACTCAGCTTAACGGAATCCCTGAAACTGACAACAGATACATAATTAAACAATGCAACTATATAGAGGCAAAGGCCTGCTACGAAATCAATTCTGGAAATACAAAATGTCTTCAAGAAACCCACAATGACAGACATATGGCCACAAGGGGTTCCTGTGAACAGCAGAGTTCTTCAGGGGTGGCCATCTACCCAGATGGGAGGGAGTCCCAACATCTGCTAGGGTCTCACCAAAAGGATTATCCACACTGCCAAGAAGTGGATGGAAACACAGGTGGTTGTGTATTGAGGAGATATGTACAGCTGCTCAATTCCCTGGAAGAGTGAGCACCTGCCAGACATTGGCTGGAGCTGCTGAACAAAGCTCATTTCTCCTGCCAAAGAAAGTAGAATTTACAAAGAGCTGAGGAGATCATAAATTCATGGTGAATATATCTAGTGTAGACAGGGATTTTGGGGAAGACAAAAATGTTAATGTGATGAAGTAGGGATTCTTCATCAGTCTAAATGGTTGCTTAATATGGTTAGATAAACATTCCAAAACATGGAGATGTTTTAAAGGGCAGTCTGAATTTCAGTGCCAAAATTAAGTATACTTTGTACCTTCTAAACACAAATCAGCACATAGTCAACAATTAGGAGTACTAGATTTCAAAAAGCTGAATTTTTTTATTTACACGCGCTTACCTCAAATACTGAAAGGTCTTTCCTTCGGTAAATTTCATTTGCTGGAGGATGAAACCATCCACACTTCTTGGAGTGTCTTAGCAAAATATTTTTACTTTTCATATATTTAAGACAGAATTCACACAGGTAAAGCTTTGGTAATCTGTTAAAGTTTAAAAATCATAGAATCTATCAGATAGATTATACTGTTGGGGGGAAGATTAAATATTGTTCAATTTTCTCTACATCATAAAAAGGCTGTATAATAACATTGGAGGCTGGGTGCAGTGGCTCACACCTGTAATTCCAGCACTTTGGGAGGCTAAGGCAGGCAGATCACCTGAGATCAGGAGTTTGAGACCAGCCTGGCCAACATGGTGAAACCTCATCACTACTAAAAATGCAAAAATTAGCTGGGCGTGGTGGCACATGCCTGTGGTCCCAGCTATTTGGGAGGCTGAGGCAGGAAGATCGCTTAAGCCCATGAGGCGGAGGTTGCAGTGAATCGAGATTGCACCACTGCGCTCCAGCCTGGGCAACAGAGTGAGACACCGTCAAAAAAATAAAGAAAGAAAGGAAAGAAAGGAAAGAAAGGAAAGAAAGGAAGAAAGGAAGGAAGGAAGGAAGGAAGGAAGGAAGGAAGAAAGAAAGAAAGAAAGCCAGCCAATAGTAAAGACAGAATGTAAAAACAACCATACATTATTTTTTAATATAATCCATAATATGTGCTCCCTTTACTTTGTGAACAAATAATTTGTTTCCTTAAAAATATCCTATATAAAGAAAGCTTTACAGATGTGGAACCACCACCCTAAAAAATCAACTTAATAAGGATATCATCCTGTCAAGGGACCAAGCATATTTTTCAAAATTCACATTTACTATCTTATTTCCAATTATATATGGTTAGTGGTATAGATATAATATCTTACTCAGAAGTGAATTTATTATTTTAAACAATCTGCATACATATGAGGCTGAAAAGTCCTCAAACTTAGTTGTTACCATTTCCACCTCTGGAAGAGGTAACTTTAAAGTTATTATCAGAGATTTATATATGGTCTAAATGCAGTAAATAGCACGGCTGAAAATCAAAAGACCTAATTTGTTTTCTACCAATTCCACTGTTACTTTGAGTAAAAGACAAACACCTCTCTTCCCTGCTGACTTTTTCTCCACCTTAAAAATCAGAACATTTTTTATTTCCATATCTTAATGAACATGGCTGGTATTTATAAGAAAATGTTTAGAAGCACTTGCAAGGTCTTTGGAGTATAAGAATGGGGAAAAAGGTTTTCAAGAGAGAGGCAGACACAGGTGAGACTACTTTCAAATCTTGCACTTATGTACAAATTTTATTCAAATCTTTCAGAGCACATGGCTTATCATTACCTATGCAAATTAAAGCTCATAGTCTTTTAAAATTGTTCAAGAACACACAACCAAATGGTATAAGGAAGGAGAAACCAAAATTCTTGACTCTTATTTTGTCACTTAACTTTTAGAAAACACTTAGCATTTTCTCCAGTTACGTGATTGGCCAGACACTCACATGCTAACGAAAAAAAATAAGATCTATTCTATAAGAAAATCAAGTTTATAAATACTGAAAACTTTGCAGACTAAAAAATTTTTGAAGATACTAGTAAAGTGTACCCTGACATACTTTATGGAAGACATCTATTCTCAATGTACCCATTTTGGGATATATTCGTTCACAGGCTAATCTTGAGTTCAAGACAAACAAAAACTTGGATACCATTATTTTCTCCTTTTTATTTTTTATTTTTTGAGATGGGATCTTGGTCTGTCACCTGAGCTGGAGTGCAGTAGTGCAATCTCGGCTTACTGCAACCTCCACCTCCTGGGTTCCAGTGATTCTCCTGCCTCAGCCTCCCGAGTAGCTGGGATTACAGGCATGTCCTATCACGTCTGGCTAATTTTTGTATTTTTAGTAGAGATGGGGTTTTGCCATGTTGGCCAGGCTGGTCTTGCACACCTAACCTCAGGTGATCCACCCACCTTGGCCTCCCAAAGTGATGGGATTACAGGAGTGAGTCACCGGGCCTGGCCTTCTCTTCAAAGTCACAAATGTTCTAAAGTAAAAATTTGGGGAAGGGTCTCTTAAGACTACCCATTCCCACTTACTTTCTCCCATTTTTCCTTCTTTTGCTAAATTTCTATTAAAAACTTGAAAATAAAATGCCAGAAATCAGAGATAAAAGTAACAGGCCTAATTAAAAAATATAAAAGACAACTGGAGAAGAAAGTCTACCCAATAATTCACCATGGCAAATTTCTTTTTTTTTTTTTAATTTGGTTTCATACAAAACCAACATTTCCCCAATTAACCAAGGAAAGAAAGCACAATCTAGAAGCTAAATGGCAAAATTTATAATGCCCATGTAACTAAGGAGCATAAGGAATTTACCGAGAACAAGGAATACCATAAAAAGGTGCTGGCAAAAGCAATAGTTTGGGAAGCACTTGGCATTGACTACCAAAATTTATTTCCTAAAATCATCCCTAATTCCTGCTTTAGAATCAAGAATTTTCCTTTCTCACATATGTGACATTCAAGTTATACACCTGCCAGACTTATTCCATTACCTTGCATATTCCTGTGGGTAAGGCGAGGAGTACCAGGTTTGGATTTCATATTTACCAAATTCAATCACAGAAGGGTACCGGCCACAGTCTTCCACCCCACTCTCACACTCTATTTTCTGTCAAATAGAAAGAAAAGGAAAATAATAATATATATACTTCACTTACATTTTGGTTCTTTCACCAGTGACTATCAAAACTTATCAAGATCAGAACACTAATCTTAATTGTGAATTTGCATGGCCTTAAAACACTATAGACCCTTATGAAATAGGTTGGTGCAAAAGTAATTACTGTTTTTATAATTTTTTCAATGGCAAAAACCACAATTACTTTTGCACCAACCTAACATTACCTTTGTGTAAGATTCACAGCAAACGAATACCCTAAGAAACAATATAGCAAAGGAAATAAGTATGGTATAAATACATACAAATGTCGATAGAACTGGATTTAACAATCTGTTGTAACAGATTAGAAATTAGGTGATTATAAATGATGTGGCTATTACACAGGCTTATTTATTACAGAAGCTTACAGTTTCCTATTCCTCCACGAAGTAGTATTTATCACAACTGTAATTAAATAATCAATTGTGAAATCTGCAGCTTAGCATTTGTCTCCTCTTATTTCCCTTATTTCCATGTAGTAAGCCACACGAGGTTAAGAACTCTGCCTGCCAGATTCACTGTGGTATCCCTGGTGTCTGGTACAGTGCCTGACACAGAACAAGAATATTTCTTGAATAAAAAAAGCCAGTTTTACCATGTTGGAATGAAAAAACTTTAGAATTAGCAGTATCTTTCAGATAATGGCCTACTGTTCATGTTTACATATGAATGTCAGAAGTAGGCCAAAAAAAGATAATATTTAAGGACTTCGAATCTTTTTTTAAAAGAGGTGGCATCCTGCTGTGTTGTCCAGGCTGGAGTAAAGTGGCCATTCAAGGGCACAATCCCACTACTGATCAACGTAGGAGTTTTGACCTGCTCCATTTCCAACCTGGGCTGGTTCAAGGACTTCCAACCTTAATAACTGGGGGAAATCTGACATTTATCTTAGCCAAAGGAAAGCTGATACAAGGCATCCTGATAGATCGGGGCAGAATGAGGGTTGGAAATACCCAATAGCTCTGAAGGTAGAAACTGTCAGGAGTATTTAGCCCAACTGGCTGCTACTAAAAATAAAGCGTTAAGAGCCTACAGAAAACCCCTTCCCCACAAAACAGGAAGTGGGGTTGGGTAGGGAGTCTACCTGACCACACTGGTCATAGAAACCGAATGTAGTCACTGACACAACAAATTCACAATTCATATTAGATTCGTCTTTGAGAAGTCTGACAGCCTCACCTGTCAATATCTGGGTGGTAATAACTTAAGCAGAATTAAAGTGGAATCACTTAAAGAAATTACTGGACAATAAAAATAAAACTGACTACAACTGATTGTGAAACAAAATATTGTTTTCATCAATGCAGAAGAGCTAAAAATATGAGACATTTTTCATATGGCTGGCCATCTGTGTTGGAAGAAACATCGGTGAATTTAACAGTGATGTTCTTCTTTTTGTTAATGATTTTAAATTGTTATTTTCTAAATTTAGGCAAAACTCATCAGAAATCTATTCCTTCACACCTAGAAATGTTTTCCAAAATCTGCCTCAACTAATGCTACTCTGTTTTATTTTGTGAGACCAGCTGAGTCCATACCTACTTTTAAGAGTGGCGACAATTCTACTAAGTCATTGCTTTTGAATGTACAGTCAGTAGAAATGGGCATGATAACGGCTAAAGAATCACAAAGGATGTTGAAAGGGATTCTCTATAAAATCAACACAGTAATTCCATATTAATAGTTAGAAGCCACATCTTATACTTGCTACTACAATGTGGGATCCTCGCCTTACCTCCCAAGAAAGTTCCTGGGCCTGCTTAAAAACATCCAAATCCTCTTCAGTAACGACATCCTTGTTTCCAATCACATTTACATCTGCACTTTCTTGTTTGATGTTTATTTTTATTTCAGTATCTGTCATTTAAAACCAGCAGAAAGTGTATTCACTGACTTGAATCATGAGTAACCACCATATATTACCAAAATGGCACCAAATTAGCATACTGGGCAAATAGGGATTTTTTTTAAAGCTTTATAAATAAGCTTTTACATCTAAGCACTGCTCATAGATCCAGCAGTATCCTTTCCCTGCTATACTCAAATTTTTATTTGAATTTATCACTGTCATCTTTTTACAGCTTTAATAAATATATGAGGGAAAGTAAGAGCAATACAAAGTGAAATCATATTTTTCAACCAAGATTAGAAGTTTTATCGATGTCTAGTTATAGCATTCCCATTATCACTTTTGAGATAATAAATTCTACCACTTTGTCCAAATGACACAGTTTCGGTTTTTGTTTGATAAAGGGTAGCAAATGTAATGGGCCAATTTGTTCAATGAAATTATGAAATCCGTTTTCTCCCTAAGGTGGATACACACACAGACACACTCACATCCAAAAGCACACATCACAGAGTCACAGATCAGGCTTTGCTGAGACGGAAGCAGGATGAACTTTGTCATGAGAAAGCAATGGAGCAGAGGGAAGAGCTGAAACACCCCCTGTTGGAAGCACTGACAGCACACAACTGAACAGCGCTGTGGCTGCAGAGGTGACATGGGGGAGAGCATGGCAGAAGCATGGCAGTGGCTACTCATGCGGGACTACAAAGCCATAAGCAATGCTATGAAGGCATCTGGGGGTCCTAGTGTCACTACGAATGGAAATAAATAATAAAAGGTGGGAGAGTATTAGTTGGAAAAACAACATTTTGGAGGTTTAGTCAGCATTAGAAAAAGGTCAAAGTTTCACTGCTTCTGTATGAAAGTGAAGTGAGAACAAGAGAAATAGCTAAGACCTATGTGACAAATAGGAATTGATTGGTTGATTTTTTTCAGGGTTGGGGAGAAAGGGACGGGACGCAGGTTTGGTTGGAGCTTTGACCTTTTGCTTACCATCATCCTGATCAGGTTTAATCCTTCCGTCTGTCAAGCTCCCCTTCCCTGGTGAGGGGGTCCCCATCTGAGGGGTCACTTTATATTTTAATCTGCCTAGCATCCTGTGCTTTTTAAGGAAAGTTGTTCGCTTGAAGTGAGCAATTGCTTTAAAAATACTTCCTCTAGCCATCCCCCAGCTAGAGGAGGAGGAGTGAGAAATAAACCGACTTCTAATATCTCTTTTGCCAAAGAAGTGGGCTTTAGATTTTGCCGTGGAAGATAATTCAGTTTTACGACGCATACGTTTGGGTGGTGCATAACTCGGGTGTCCCTTTTTGCGAGACTGTCCCTGAGTGGTATAGATATGAGAAAGCCCATCAAAGAGTGCCTTCAGCTGGCTGTTAGTGGTAAGGCTGCTCAGGGAGGGCACACTGCACTGGCTGGAAGAACTCTGGGGAGAGGGAGAAGAAGTGGCCGTGCTGGACTTTTGTGAACTGGGGCTCTGACCGGAGATGGGGGTTGGGGGTGGAAGTGAAGAAGGTGGAGGTTTTAGCTTTTGTGTGGTACCTGTAGCCAACACATGAGAAGTGCATGACTGTTTCTGAGAGACCTTTTTCCTTGGACGATAGTGCTTTGAAAAGTCTATAATTTCACCTCGTGATCTGCGACCATCAGGTGATGGTGTAAAAAACTTAGTAAGGCCATCAATGAGCCCTTTGGTTTTCTTGTTAACTTTAAGTGTAGAGGCAGAAATGTAGGTGGAGGTGGTGGTGATTTTGGTGGTGGCACCAGGCCGAGTGGGGTCTGTAACAGCCAATCTGCTGCTTGAGTCCTTCCCAGATGCAGCATGACCAGATGAAGGTGTGGTACAGACTTTAGTCTTTTGACCCCTACCAGGTGACCCCCTTCCTGTGAATGCATTCATGGATCCTTCATCACTGGTTACAGACCTAGGCAGAAATTTAGAGAATAGTATCAGCATTTAATAAATAGAATTATAAAGGTATCTAAAAACAAATTTATTGCAACTAGATGCATTCAATGGGCTTAAACTTAAGAACTGTATTTTTTGTGTGTGCCACCACCTAGATGTTTCTCTGTTGGAAAGGCAGCAGCAACTGCATTTACATGTCATGGTTCTTCCAGGGCCCATCCACCAGGTACTGGAAGAATCCATGTGGACCCAAGGGCAATATAAGCAAGAAAAATGCTGAAGAGACTAAAAGAACACCCAATGCTTTAATTATAATTAAATAAAAACAAGCTATCCTTTGGTGTTGTCACAAGTAGTTATGATTTCCTGAAATGTCTTTTTTAAAGTATTAGGAGGAAATAAGTCATATGTGTTATCCAGAAGCAAAAGAAGAAGCTTATCTAATCTCTAGTTAAAAGTAATTTTTAATTCAATTTGCAAACTTATATAAATAGAGTTTGGATATGGCTATAAATTTGTACTTTTTTTTAAGAAAACATAAAAAGACATCCTCTTCCTCTCAGCAGTTTGTGCTTAGGATGGTAAGATAACCAATAATACTCTCTTAGGAGAGAAGACAATTAACTACAGCATAAAATATTGCTGAAAAAAGGACAACAATAGCAAAAAACTGAAGAAATGATTAAAGAAAAGCTACAGCGGGTCAGACATGACATGGAGAGTCTGGTGAAGAAGCGGCACATTTACCATGGTCATTATCAGACACTTGGCGTCAGAATCTTTGTACCCTGGTTCTGCCCATACTGTTGAGTAGTTCTAGAAACTAGAGGTCACTCGCTAACACAGCTGCTTACATGAACAGCGGCCGACTGTCTTCACCTCAGGCTAGGGTTTGCGAAGCTACCCATTTTGTAGCAGAGTTTTATACAATAGAGAAACATTTGCAGATGAATTATGACAATGCTGGGGCCCAAGAATGTACTTTCAAAATGATCAATTTAGCTAAAGGTGAATAATGACAAAATGAAAGCCTTAAAAAGATACAATACTGAATTATAAAAATATCTTAAGTAATTACAAATACAAGAGTATATTTTAGTGATCATCTTGTATACAAAGATTTAATGACCAGATTTCAGCTGTTAGTTGAAGGGGAGGTAGGTGCAGCTACCAGGCTCATCTGAGGTGGCTCTACTGCCAGGGACTCTGCCTGGCACCACCAATTCAGCCAAGTCAGGTGAACGCTAGAGATCTCTAGTGTCACTAGAGACACAGTGAGAGTTACCAACAAGGAACTCATCCAGGCAAAAATGTTTCACATCAGAAAGCTGCATTTGGATTGTATCTGGAATCGATTGCCCAGAAAGGATAATATGCTTATAAAGCATGTAAAAAGGAAAACTCCCTAGACTGTCTTAAAAATTCCTAAGCTCAAAGGACAATTTTGGACAAACAAAAAGTTAGGATTGGTGCCAGATGCAATTTTCAGCTGTGTCCTCTGTTTAGAAAGTTTATATCCTAATTTGGTTTTTTTAATTGGGCCCTGAGGATATGGACCCATGTTGGGAACAATGCTTACACAGGATGAATGCAAAAACATATAATTTCTACTTCAAATGATACTACCATGAAAGATTTTATTCATAAATGTTTCATGTTTGCCTCTAGAAATTTTTTCAAAATCTATTGAAAATGTCTACTGGTTAAAGGGTTTTTGCAAAGTTTCATAGAAAACTCTAGAAAGGAGCCTGCATTTCTTACTTCTTCTTAGGAGATAAAGGTGCGGGAGAATACTATTTTTCTGAGAGCAAATAAGATAGTGAGAGCAGCTTCAGATAAAATTAGGGGAAAAGGAGTAAGCAAGGGAGTGAGATTCTTGGAGTCTGTTCAAGGTGTGTGCAGAGCATGTATTCTTTCTCCATCACAATGACCCTTTCACTAAGCCTGAAAAGATGGTGGTAGTCTGTTGGTAGAACTGCTATAGATGTGCAAGTCTACTGATCCCATTCGTAAACACCTTAATGCTGATAGTCAAATCTATACTCTACACAGGTTAAAATAAATTCATTTCACCTCTTATCTTTTCTCTGCTTTTCCAACTAACTCCTGCTAAATGCTCTACTGGGCTTTAATGGCAATTATACAGCAACAAGATAGTGAAAATGGGGTTATCATAGTAGATTTCCAGGCCACTGCGAATATATTATTTTATATATATGTCTGCACTAGTGCAGTTGTCAAATAGTTCTGTCTAACTCTTCAGAGGTAAGTGGTCATCTGCAGGTTTTTCAGAAGCTCCTATTTCATAAAAGAGATCTTAAAAAGTGGTAATGCTACATTACTATCAGAAGAGAGAGGTATTTTTCTAAAATGTTATCTGGAGTGACAAAAGAGATTTGCTATAGACATGGACAAATCCCTCTCGTTTTAAAATTCCTATGAAAATATTTACATAATTAAGCTCTAATGCTCAGCCAGTAATAAAGTAGGCTGAATGACTGTTTCCAATTCTTACATTCTGCTTCCATCCTGCTGCTTGAAAAATGTCACTTAGTATCACAGCTACTGCCAACAGAAGACCCCAAAATGCCAATGGTAATTAAAAATGTTATTTTCAAAAAATTTCCACAGCTTATGCAAAAGGAAAAGTATTTTTCAACCCTTGAGTTTGAAAAAATGATGCCAAAAAACCCCTAAAGGAATCTGAGAGAATAACAATCACCTATATTTTAAAGCAAAACATAAATGATTTCTTTTGATAAGATCTCAACCTACAACAATCGTTGCTTTAATTTATTTTTCGGTCGTCCAATGGGTTTTGCATATCGTCGTTTTATTTGTGCAGCTTTCTCATGAAGTAGTTTTCTTCCCTTTTTCTTTGGTCTGCAGACTTGGCAAATCCACATCCCTGAATTAATATATATATGAGAAAAATATTTTAATGTTTCATTTTAAGAGAAGATATTAAATATAAGTTGTAGCTGTAATAAGCTGCTCAAGGATGCCTGTATGCTGAACTTTACTCCAAAAAATGCGTCATTCCCTTTGTCATTTTCCTTAGGAAGCCATCACTAAGGTCAATTTCCCTGGAGTGAAGGTGGTGAGGGCAGAGGTGGCCCCTCTCTCAGAATCCTTCCATGAAGCTGTTCCCAACATGTCATTAAGCCTCTCACCAACACATAAACACACATGAAAACTCGCCCCTGTCAGATATTATATCTTTTGATTTGAGGGAGACATTTTCAAATCAGTCCATTTTTGGAATTTCTAGAAGAAAAAAAAATTGTCTTATCATCTCTTTCTGGAAAGTTCCAACACTAAAAAAAAATTATCAGTATAAAATATAATTTTAAAATTTAAATAAAAGTTTTGAGTACTGCAGAACTACAATGATTCAAACTATACATCTAGCATAGAGAAATAGGTCAATGGATAAGAATGGAAAGACCAGAACAACCAAAGCCTACAGAAAAGTTTAGCATATCAAAAGGTCATATTTTAAATCAGTGGAGAAAGGATGAAATGATTCAATAAGCATGATAGAACAAATAGCTATCTATCTGGAAGAGGAATTATTTCCTATCCTTTACAAGAATAAATTCTAGACAGATGAATATTGTAATATGAAAAAATAAAATGTTATAAGTACCAGGAAAGATATGTGGATATTTATATAATCTAAGCATGACTGACATTTAAAACTGAAGCCATAAATAAAAAGATTCATGAATATGACTACACACAAAAAAAGAGCTTCTGCAAATCAGGAAGAAAAAGGTAAAAATCCCAAGAGAAAAATGATTAATGGATAAAAAGAGGTACTTTAGAAAAGATGATATACAAACAGCCAAGAATAAAACACAAGAAATGTTCAATCTGACTACTTAAAAAGAAATAATCAGACATATTTCTATTATCAAACTGGTAAAATTTTAAAAATAATAATACTCTAATCAAATCTAAGATACTGTATGATGCATCTGACTTCAAAAATATTAAAACATTAAAAAAATGTGTCTTAGACTCAAGGAGATATAGTAACGGTGAGTACTGGTCACAATACAGGAAAATAGGTATCCTTCTATACTGCTGGACAGCCTGAAAACTGATACAGCCTTTCATGTATCTAGCCTTTGATCCAACAGTTCCTCCTCTAGGAATTTATTTCAAGGAAATAATTGTGGATGGAAAAAATTGGAAACATTTGTAATATCCACCCTAAGGGACTGGTTAAATAAATTAGAGTTCATTTATATAGAGGGTTGGAAAATCAAATACCTCCAGGAAGGACCTAGATTGTATAATGTATGTGACTGAAGCAAATTGGAACGTAAGACAGCAGGGAGTAGTGAGATTGTGGCAAACTGGAGCACACACGCACCACCCAGAGGACTCAGATTCAAACTTGTAAAAATATTGTACCAACAAAGCATATCTGTGACCCATAGTTGCCAGGTTTGTAATCCCTGCTCTATACTATGGAGTTCTACATACTTATTAAAAACTATGTTTAGGAGAATATTTAATGATGTAGGGGATGCTTATAATCTATTAAGAGGGAGGAAAAAGTACATTACAAAAACATGTACAGAATGTTCCATTTCCCTTCAAAGGGTATGTGAAGGCAGAGAAGGAAATTTCCAATTCATTTTTATTTTTATTCCTTTTTTGTCTATCTGTACTTTTTAAATCTTCCACAATGTAAATTATGGATTTTATAATAAAAAGGCAAAGTTATTTTTAAATGTTTAATATATTGCAAAATGAGGGGAAAAGGCTGAGCTTAGCTGATTTACACAATAAACAGAAGAAAATCCACATTCCATCAGACACAATCAGCTATAAGATCATTCAGATGCTCGTGTTCAAAATATCAACTAATGGCCAAGAAAATGGTGATGGCTTCCTGTTGTAGGACTTTGGAGTCACTATCATCCTCAAAAATATAAAATTTGTTAAGCTCTTAACACTGTGCTGAATAATATGGAAAGTGTTCTAAACTTTTGACCTTAATAATCTAATCTTATTCTAATAGGGGAATGGTTTGGAGAGAGAGATGGTCTTTTCATCCCTGGGTCTGAATTAGAGCCTTTATTTTATATATATGTATATATATACACATATATATATGTATTTTTTTCTATGCTTTTATACTCCTCTATTCACAACCTGTGCTAAACTCAGAAGTATAGGGAAGGTGGGAGGGATGAAAAAAATGCTTAAAGAACCTGTATACCTCTGAGCTGTCAGACCTCAGGACAAAGCTAACCAATATGTAATAAAATACATTTTTAGTACAGTTTAGAAGTTCACCTTTTGGCATTCTGGAAAGTGGTGGGTCACAGCATTCCATATGAAATCCTCTATCACAGGAATCACAAAAAAGCATATTATCCTGTAATATAACATATTAGAGACTAATTGAGACTGAAACCAACTGTAAAAGGCCAAAAATTCTTTTGTTACTGGATTAACATTAATACAATATAAGGAAAGTGCACCAAGATCCTGGTTGCAGTTTGACATCATGTGTATTTAAAGCTTTAGAAAGAAAGTAGCCATACTCTATAAAAATGAAAACACCTTAACACTGGAAATTAGCGAGTTACCTGGAGGCGGATTACGGGAGCCATACTTACAGCATTTCTGCCTTGGACTCTACAGGCACTGCATGTCTTGCATTCGATGCACTGCCACCTTAAGGCCTTTACATTTGTTGTTAATTCAGGACAAAATTTCAAACAGGATGGGTGTCCTATGAGAATAAAAAGCAAATTGCTTGATGGGAATGGTGCCTTTGACTTTTTTAAACTCCCATTCCCTAATATTTAATAGATAGCTGATGAGGCTAGCCAATGAACCTTAGGAACTTGAAAATGCCAACAGATCAGAGAATCCGAATTACAGATTTTCCTTTCTGCCTTTTCCCCTTGCCTTCTTTCCCTGTATGTAACAAAATGACTGTACGAATGTTTTCCCTAAGAGAACTTAATTTATACCAATTCCAATCTGAAGCCTTTGAGAACTTGAAGATAACACAGGCTCAGGCATTCTTACTCCTGCACCTGTACTTGCCGTCTTCATCAACCACCATCTACCCAGGGGGTCCTGGTTTGCCACACACTGAGGGGAGTTGCCAAAGTTCAAACAATTCCTGCTCTCTGTGTGTGATGAAATCATAAAACTCAACAGATAACTAAATAAAAAATTGAGGCTGCTTAACATAACTACAGATGCCCTCCCCCACCCAAATCCAATAGCACACAAAGAACATCCCATTGCTGGGCTAGACAGAGGATATTCCATTGCCATCTTGCCCCTGGGTCACTGAGTTTAAACTCTGGAAGCAGGAGCAGAAAACAGTGAATTTGAGAGACAGAGTTAAGAAGCTGAGAGATCCAGGTTAAACAGGACCCACCAAGAAGTGTGGCCTCAGCAGGTTCCCCCATTTTCCTGTTTGGGGCACACTTTTCACCTAGCAGCGCTCCACACACCAGGTCTTACTGCTCACTTCACAGAGGAAAACTGGAGACCCTGAGGGGCAATGCCATTCAAAGGAGCCAGCCATGAGCCAGTGTGTAATAGATTCCTCCAAGAGGTGTGCGGAGCGTGAGCCTAGATTCTTTGGAAGGCTGTACAGTTTAAAATCTAATGGTCTTTTATCACATAAACCCGAAGAGATCTCCAAACTTGATTTTATTTTTTTAAACCTGGTCTTTAAATAGTAAGAACATTAGTAAATCCCATGTGAAAGAACTTACAACCAAGCTGCAAAGGAAACCTGAGGGGTAATAAAAAAAAGCAGATTCTGCAATTTCAAAACTGTTTTATAATTTCCTGACTTTGGCAGGCTCATTGTTTAAATATGTATTTTGGATTGCTGCCAAAAAGGTCCTCCTCCCTAAAGCTTAACAGGTGCTTCATAAAATTCCACCCACCAGGAGATTTGGCTTTTTGAAGTAAAAACATTCAAAATCAATCACCAATACCGTTAATAAAAGCACACTATTCCTGAGTTAAAAAAAAAAAACTCTAAACATCTGTATTTAAGATGTTGAGAAAATAAAATATTGTCACAGGATTATGACCTCAGGCAGGAGAGACACCCAGGCAGATGCATTTAACCTGTGACACTGTTCTTTTATGAGGCTTCTCTCATTCAAATGAATGCAAGGAAAAAGTCTGAATAGATAAAAATGGTATCAATCTCCTCTTTCTGCTCAGGAACGGCAAACAAAGACAGCTTGCTTGTCGACTTCTAAGAAGCACACTGAAGCGGGGAGGGGAGAGGTCTACTTTGATCAGAGCCCTCCCCTCTGTCCCCTTATATAGTGAGGAGGGTAAAAACTTAACTTTTAAAGAACAGCAATTTAAATTCCACCCTTAAAATGGATCCCATCAGCTTAAAAGTATACCACTTACTTCCCCCCTCTTTTTTATTACTTCCTGTAAGGCATATATCATGGGCACATATGACCTCAATTTCACGCACTGAATTTTTCTCTACATTCAAATCTGCTTTTGTACTTTGTGACTTAATATTCAGTAACTAAGGTAATTCACATCATATTACAGCTTACTATTTATTCTCACAGGTATCTTATGAAAGACAGACTTTTTAATAATTATGCAGTTTGAAAATTAGTGGATTTCAGCCATTTTCAATCAGGGGCAAGGAATATTCTTTCTCTTAATGGTTTCTCTCACTTTAAGCAATACTGTATCTCAACTACTACTATTTAAGCTACCCTATCAAATTCTAAAATCTTCAGCCTATCTTTCCTTTAGGCAGCAATCTTACCTTTATTTAGCTCAAGAGAATTGGCCATAGATCCCTTACAGTTCTAAATTTCTATGATTCTGTAAAGGATGCTGAGGGATGAAGAAATATTTCCATTTTATTTTCTCATGGCCAACTTTAAAATAACACAAAAGACCGTAACGTGTCTTGATATACTACTGCACAATCTATAGTAATTAGATAAAGGAAAGCAATGCTACTGATCAAGTAATTCCTTACCTCTGGTTTAGCGATTTCATAAACTCAACAATTTCCTCTAACACTTTAATTTTTTTTTTTTTTTTGAGACGGAGTCTCGCTCTGTTGCCCAGGCTGGAGTGCAGTGGCGTCATCTTGGCTCACTGCAAGCTCCACCTCCCAGGTTCACGACATTCTCCCGCCTCAGCCTCCTTAGTAGCTGGGACTAGAGGCGCCCGCCACTATGCCTGGCTAATTTTGTTTTTGTATTTTTAGTACAGACAGGGTTTCACTGTGTTAGCCAGGATGGTCTTGATCTCCTGACCTTGTGATCCACCTGCCTCAGCCTCCCAAAGTGCTGGGATTACAGGTGTGAGCCACAGCGCCCAGCCTATTTTTTTATTTTTGAGACAGGGTCTTACTCTGTTGCCCAGGCTGGAGTGCGGTGGCATGATCACGGCTCACTGCAACCTTAGCCTCCCAGACTCAAGCAGTGCTGTCACCTCAGCCTCTCGAGTAGCTGGGACTACAGGCACGCATCACCAAGCCCGGCTAATTGTTTTGTATTTTTTTGGTAGAGATGGGGTTTTGCCATGTTGGCCAGGCTGGTCTTGAATTCCTGGCCTCAAGAATCCACCAGCCTTGGCCTCCCAAAGTGCTGGGACTACTGACACACCCCACCACGTCCAGCTAATTTCCTCTAAAATTCTTGTTCTCTCTGTTGACACGTTTCATGGTGCTTTGTCTTTCTGGAGTTTGTTTTACTATTGTATTTTGCAATTTATCAGATTTGAGAGCCATAATACATATTCATTCACTCATTCAATTTTACACAAATACATTGTCAAGTACTAGTAGCTTACAATAGTTTTATCTAGCAAAACCAAAGGAATACTATTTAAAATTAAACAAGTACCAATGGAACTACAAACCAGTGGAAAAGCTTTTTGGAGAAAGTACTGAGGAAGAAAAAACACAGGCTCTGTAGTAAGCACAACAACAGCAGCGCCCCAGCCATCTGTGCTCTAATTCCCATAACCTGTAAACATACTATACCTGTTGTAGCAAAAAGAACTCTGCAGAAGTGACTAGGGGTACCGACCTAGAGATGGGGAGTTTATCCTGGATTATCTGAGTGGGCATGATTGATCTAATCACATTAATCCTTAAAAGCAGAGAACCTTTTACGGACTTGGTTAGAAATGAAATGGCAAAAGGAGGAGGAAGGGTTCAAAGCATGAGAGAGACTCCACCTGCTATCACAGGCTTTCAAGATGGGGAGGGGGCTGCAAGCCGGGGAATGTGGGTGGCCTGTAGAACCTGGCCATGACCTTCACCTGACAGCAAGAAAACCAGGATCTCGGTCCTGTCAACACAAGGAATTGAATTCTGCCAATAACCCAGATGGATAAGAACATGGATCCTCTCCTTCCCAGAACTTTGGGAGGCCAAGGCGGGTGGATCACGAGGTCAGGAGATCAGGACCATCCTGGCTAACATGGTGAAACCCCGTCTCTACTAAAAAAAAAAAAAAATACAGAAAATTGGCCGGGCGTGGTGGCGGGCGCCTGTAGTCCCAGCTACTCGGGAGGCTGAGGTGGAAGAATGGCGTGAACCCGGGAGGCGGAGCTTGCAGTGAACCGAGATCACGCCACTGCACTCCAGCCTGGGCATCAGAGTGAGACTCCATCTCAAAAAAAAAAAAAAGAACATGGATCCTCACTTAAAGTCTCCAGAGAGGAGCCAGCCCTGCTGATACCCCGATTTTAATCTGGTGAGACCCATGATGGACTTCCAACCTACAACTATAAGATTAAAAATGTGTTGTTTTTAAGCCACTAAGTCTGTAGTAATTTATTCCAGTAGCAATGGAAAACTAATAACGACTCAGACACTAAGCCCCTCAGACTGGCTACCTGACCATCCATCTGTCCATCTCTCCTCCCTTCAACTAATATTTAATGAGCACTGGATACAGTGAGGAAAAGGAGAGGCATGGTTCCCACCCTTCCAGATCACATAGCCCAGCAGGAAAGACAAACATTAAACAAGAATGAGCATTAATGCCTTACAATGGGGTGGCTTAGGGATATGGGAGAATCTAGCAGGAAGTTAGAGAAAGGCCTCCCTAAAAAAGAGACCCAAAAGATGAATGTGATTGGATGGGACCAGAAGAGGGGAAGAGCAGGGAAGATGGCATGAACAGAGGGAGAGATGAACGAGGTATATCCAAGGAGAGAGAAGTTGTTCAATGTAACCAATGTGCAGAATGTGAACAGAATAGTGATGTAAGATGGGGTTAAACCAGAGCCCAATCCAGAAGTTTTTGGGGGCTATATTAAAGAATATGGATTTCTCCTAAGAGCAACTGATAGCCACTTATGAAATTATGTGATCAGATTTATAACTTAAAAAGGTAACTTAGGCTATAGTATGGAAAATGGATTGGAGGAAAAAGGGTGAAGCCTAGATTGAGGTCATTATAACAGCAGATCTGAGTGGGGCTGGCTGGTGGGGATGCATCGATAAATTTAGCATTCAAGATACATATTATGATTTAGAATCAATGTGTTTTTGGTGATTCCTTGGTGTGAAAGAATAGGACAGAGGATGGCTCCAAATGTCTAGTTTGTGTAACTGAGTGAGTAGCGAACGGTGTGCCACTTGCTGAATATAGGAAATCCTCCAGGAGAGGTGGGATACTGTTTGTTTGCTGGGATTTCTGTTGTTATTGTTGTGGCTGTTGTTTTGGGTGGAGGAAGCAGTGCAAGGTTGATGAGCTGTTCTGGATATTAACTTTGAGGTGCCTCGGGGGTAGACTCGTTGGAAAAGCTCTATAGTTATTTGTATCTAGGGTCAGAAGCTCAGTAGAAGCTACAAGGCAAAGTAACAAACACAGGGCCACGACAGACATCTGAAGAAACATTTAGGGAATGGAGAGAGGACCAAGGGGCTAACAAAAATATGTGGAAAGAAGTGGTAGAGAAAAAACACAGATAATATGGTGTCACAGGGGCCAAAGGAAAAGAACACTTCAAGAAAAAAGATTCTCTACAAGATCAAATATGACTAAGAGAAATTATTTGGTGTGGATTAAAAGATACCAATTAGATTTTGATAAACACTTAAAAATGATCATTAGATTTTGCTACAAAGAGGTCACTATTACCCAGACAAGCACAGTTTTAGTGAAGTTACATCTCTTTGGATGGTCAATCATGCTTTGGGCTTTTGCAGGGATGGGGCTCACCTTCTTTCCCCCAACCCCCAATCTTTTCTGCTTTGTTTTTTTATTTTTATTTTTTGAGACAGAGTTTCACTCTTGTCACCTAGGCTGGAGTGCAGTGGTGCAATCTCGGCTCACCTCAACCTCCGCCTCCCGGCTTCAAGCCATTCTCCTGCCTCAGCCTTCCGAGTAGCTGGGATTACAGGATGCGCTACCATGCCCGGCTAATTTTTTTTTTTTCCTTTTTTTAGTAGGGATGGGGTTTCACCATGTTGGCCAGGCTAGTCTTGAACTCCTGACCTCAGGTGATCCACCTGCCTTGGCCTCCCAAAGTGCTGGGACTACAGGCGTGAGCCACAGCGCCTGGCCTCTTTTCTTCTTTGGATCATATCTTTAGGTTTCTTTCTAGTCAAGAGTCTTCTTTCCAACCTAATGATTCAATCTGCATCTAGTCAATGTGAAACTGGATGACTAAGCAACCAACTCCTGGGGTGACCTTAAGAAACTAGTGGTCTTTTAAAATATTTTTATATGTCCATATATCCACACACTGCCCCTACCAGTTCCCTCCATGAGCATGCAAATTTTGTTCAGGGTTAACACACAAATAAAGACAAACCCAGGGAAGACTTCAGGTCTCCCGAGGGTGCACTGATATTCTACTCCACGGCTCTTGCTCCCTTTATTGTACAAAAGGGATTTCTCTCACTCACCCAGCTGCATCACAGCAGCCTTTCTTCTGTCTCCCGTTTCAATGAGCTTCCACTTAGAATGATGCTGTAATTTTGAACTGTACACTTATCTTAGATTTGCTAATTTGAAAACACACATGCACACAACTCATCTGTAAGTAAGATTTAACCACCCAGCAATCTGAGCAGCAGACACAAAATTTCATTTGGTATAATATCTAATACTTATGTGAAGCTAATTAAAGATAATTTGGTCTTAATGAGGCAAAGAGAATATAACAGTGTTAATTTCAAAGTAGGCTGATCCATGAAAGTCAAGTAAAATCATTTCTAACACTTCCACAGACCTAGACTATCTGATGATTCCCACATTCATATTAGTGGCTGGAATAATCCTTCACATTTGTCTCATGTTTTACAGTTACTGATCATCTTCCTATCATTTTCTCACTGGATCCCACAATAGCTCTGTGGATGGAGGGTGCAGACATTCTCCTTTACACCCCACAGATGAGGAAAACCAAAGTTACACACCCAGCAAGTGGCGGAAGAGAACTGGAACCCAGGCTAGGGACACCACATTCAGAGCTCCGGGCACTACATACCTCACCTCACGTTTTTACTACATATAAACTTGAATGATTTTTTTTTTTAAAGAATTTTTAGTAGAAAAAAAAACTGTTAAAGAAAATACTGCCCATTTAAAGCATCGAGCCCCTTTAAAAACAGATAAATTTCTAATTGGCTTTACTTTATGATGTAAGCAGAAGGATACATTTATTACTCTCATCTATGAAATCTAAGCGGAGTCTAAATGTGACATCATATGAATGGTACTTCAGATAGGGACGACTGAAAAGCATCAGGCACATATGGGAAACACATTTAAGAATGATCCTCCCCACAGGCTGCCATCTATATTTCCTTTTTCTGGTTTTATGCTGCTATGGGTATTTTTTCACATAAACAACTTACATTTTGGGATCCCTTTGAACATTATGAACGGTCTCAATTCAATCCCAGAACCAATAGACTCTTCTGAGAGTGAGAAGGCAGCCATTTCCATAAGGTCAACTAGGAGTCCCAACTAATCTGTAATTCCCACTTGAAATGCTGAACTGTGACAACAGGGCTCCCGCCATTATTTGAGGACACTGTTGAGGTATGCTGGCCTATTGTTTTCTTTTTTCCTTAGAATTACCAAGGTGTCAAAACAGAGCCTTAGAACCACAAGAACCCCCAAACTCCCTAAAATGAACTATATTTTATTTTGACCCTTCAATTTAAAGAGGAAAAAACAACAAAGTCTATTCTTCTGATTTATCAGATGAATAAATATGTACAAAGCATTTCCCTGCGTTAGGAACAATAGTTTTTTTGACTAAAGCAGCCAAATCCAGGCTGGCACAGCACACTCAAGGGAAGATTAAGTGAACTTCAACACTAGAGCCGGATCCCATCGCAGAGTCCAGAGAAGCACTCTGAGGCATCCTTTATCCCCAACAAAGAGACATGGTGACCCCAGGGCTTGAATTTCTGCCATGACCCATACCTTGGCCCCAAAGCCTCTGGCTCTCTCCACTTGAAGACTGGCTCACAAAACCACACCAGCCACATAAACCCTCTGGACAGTATCCTCAAGTCATTATTCTCCATTTGTTAAAAGAGAAAACAAGAGGATATTTTTGAACAGAGAAAACATAACACTGTACCTAAACACCCCTGGCTTTACCCTGAAAAAGTCTGAGCGAAAAGTAAGAAACACCAGGGGAAAGAAATTTTCAGTGACCTCAAACATAAAGGAGATCAACCTCCCCTCTGGCAGGTCTTCAATCCGGGAAAGACAAAGGGAGATTGATTACATCAGAAAATCTAAGATCTACCTGTTTAGAATTACACCTTTATACCCTGTGAAGGAGGCCTTGAAGTTATGATCTAGAAGATAATGATCTCGAACTTCTTATCAACTCAAGTAAGTGTATCACCAGAGGTAAGGAAATATATGAAGGGAACTTTTCTTCCCACATTTAAGTACATCTTTAATCTGTCTAGGCACCCAGACAAATAGATCCTAAAGAAATAAAAACAGGGAAGGGTGTTTTTAAAGTACCACCTTAAAAGCCACAAAGGGTAAACCCTAGACAAGTGAACACCACTAAATTGATCAGGCAGTTACACAAAAGAATAATTCATTCAGAATGAGCCTCGTGAGAAAACCCAAAAGATAACGACAGAGTCAGAACTGATGAGTGAGGCACTACCTCACCAGCATAAAACAGGGATATCGTGGGGCTGAAATGTATTAAACTGAACGTACAGATAATGTTTCCATGCCCTTTTGTCACTATCCATGATGCCATGGCCAGGTAAAAGAATTTTAATGAATCTGTAAAGCCCATCAAAAAGACTGTCAGAATGCATTTTTCAAGCAGGGTTTGAAATGTCTTATTTCCAAGGCTCTCCCTTCTAGTCAGCACCTGAAAGCTGCTGAACCACAAAGGGCCTATCACGTTAAACCTTCATATAAGGAATAAGAATCATTACACAACACTGTCATTCCTCAGCATGAAACATTTCTTCTACCCAACCATCAAGCAGCTGTCATAAGTGATGATAAGATTTTAAATTACGTGCAGCAATCAAGGATAACAATATCAAACATGCTAAACCATAACACTGCTGACATTTGTAGTACACTTACCATAGTTCTGCAGACCTTGTGCCAGGGTGTTTACTTGTGCCCTCACATTTCATTCCCATAAAACCCAAGAGGATGGTGCTGCCATTATCTCTAATTTTCTAATGAGGAAACAGGGGCTCAGAATGATCAAGTAACTAACTCAAGGCAGAGGAACTGGGCTATGGCTGGCTCTTGAGTTTGCTCCTAGCCAGTATATCTCAAGACTTCCCAAACAAGAATTAGCTATGGTGTTCTGTCGATTTTTGTTTTTGTTTTTTTTTTTTAGAGATTACTATAACTAGAGAAATAGTCATGAATTTTAAAACAAGACTTTGGAGAAAAAAGTTTGGGTAGTCTGGGGAAAAAATTTGAAGATTAACAGAAAAAGCTTAATTTTTACTTATTTTTTGCTATTAATTTTTAAAGATGGGGTTGTACTCAGCTTGAAAGCTTAGAATTCTCTACATGGAATTTACCTATAATGCAGACATCTCCACACTGAATTACCAATGCTGGTATAAAATAAAAGCTTAATCATAAATATGTATAGTATTATATAAGCATATATAATATCCATATGTCAGTACTAACATACTCACGCTTTTTTCTCTATTCCTTACTTTTTCTTTTAAAATTTAAAGCCTATGCTATTACCATATAACTGCCTTAAATAACAATACAGTTTTAATAGAGAGACAAATAGCATGAAGCTATGATAATGGGAAGTCATTGTACAACACATAGGAAAAACACAACTTACCACTACTGCCACAATCTGCACAAGAGAGGAGTTCTTCTGGTTTCTTTTCACGATTTGATTCTTTAGTCCCCAAACAGAAGCTACATATTGGAATGGGATCAGCACGGGGCTATGACAAAATTAAAATAAAAAATACTGTCACTTTTCCATTTCAAAAGTAAAAACATTAAAATCAAAAGCTTTTTACATTTTTCACTTAAAGCTTCTTCTTTCTTTAACAAAGAAAAACTGCTAAATAACGTATTTAAATAAACACTTTCTGCTAGTAAAAAAACTCTTATATTATTTTTGAGACGAAGTCTCGCTCTGTCGCCAGGTTGTAGTGCAGTGGCACAATCTCGGCTCATTGCAACCTCCACCTCCCGGGTTCAAGCGATTCCCCTGCCTCAGCCTCCCGAGTATCTGGGATTACAGATGCGCGCCACTATGCCTGGCTAATTTTTTGTATTTTAGTAGAGATGGGGTTTCACCATGTTGGCCAGGATGGTCTCGATCTCCTGACCTCATAATCCACCTGCCTCAGCCTCCCAAAGTGCTGGGATAAATCTCTTAAATTATTTGACACTAAAGTACTACCTGAATACATTTCAGTATAATGTATGACTCAGAAGTCATTTTTATTAAACCAGTGAAATCTAATACCTTTATATATTATATAGCTTGCCTGAAATGAACATAATTAAGGATTCATTGGACATCTCAATTGTTTCTATTATCTATATGCTTAAAATAAATTATTCGTTCAGCATTATAGTCTATGAATATCATGTATAGACTGTTAAGACTTTATTAAATATTGCAGCGCAGATTGCTATTATTCACCTACTAAATATTTGACATAAAATATCTATATGTTTTTAGGTGACAGAATAATAGAATGAGCAGGATTCTGTGGGACACTTGAAAAGGTCATTATTAACAAGGCTTTTGTGCCACGAAGGTCTTCAAAAGTAAACCACACCATACCAAACAAAAAAGATAAACCTTGAATCTCTGACATTCTCACCTTATTTATTTATTTATTTATTTATTTATTTATTTATAGACAGAGTCTCACTCTGTCGCCAGCCTGGAGTGCAATGGTGTGATCTTGGCTCACTGCAACCTCTGCCTCCCAGGTTCAAGTGATTCTCTTGCCTCGGCCTCCTGAGTAGCTGGGACTACAGGCGCGTGCCACCAAACCCGGCTAATTTTTATATTTTTAGTAGAGATGGGGTTTCACCATGTTGGTCAGGATGGTCTCGATCTTCTGACCTCATGATCCGCCCGCCTCAGCCTCCCAAAGTGCTGGGATTACAGGCGTGAGCCACCGAGCCCGGCCTGACATTCCCACTTTATATAAGAAACAACAAAACATTTGTCTAGTCCCCTAGCACCCTTTAACTCTCGTATGAAAATTGCTTTTAACAATGTATAAATCTACATACATTTTAGTATTTCCATTGTTATTTACTACTATCAGCAATGCTAGTATTCCCATCCATAGGAATAGCTGACAGTGCCTACAGATCTGGTCACATTATTTTCAACAGCCAAAACTACGAAAACTGTAATTTTACCGCATATTCCAAGCCTTCACACATGTTGTCTGCTAGCCATCTGAATGTTACTATGATGTCTCTATATTTGAATCTCATGAATCAAAAATTCAGAGCAAGAACACCCAACATAATCACAAATGTTTTTAAATGTAAATTAAAAACAAGATTTTGCTAGGTCTAACTCTCTAAATATACATCAGCATAGAATAAACTTCATTTGTTCAGCCACTCTAGCCCAAATGCCTAATGCATTTCCTGGTGCATAGTAGGCACTCAAAATATATCTGCTAACTGAATACATGAAGGAAATATATGCTAGTTAAGAACAAAAAAAATCAATGGTTATAATGATTCCAACAAATGCCTTAGTTCCTTGGGACAACATGTCATCAAAAACAAAAAACCATCTCATGACCAAACATTCACAAATTGTTTAATATGACTGCAAATCTCATCTTACAAGGGCATTCATTATCTTCCCTTTACTTTCAGCTTAATTTGTTCTTATAATATGCACAGGCTTTACGTTCTGAGGTAGCTATGCAAATGTATTTCTGTAGCCCCAGTTAAAAAGTAGATTATAAAACATTCTGTACTAGAAAAACGAAAAGAGACAAGCTATAACAAATTGGTCACTGACTGTAGCCACAGTTTTTTAAATGCCAGATAATCAGCACTGCATAATTATGGATCCATAGTTATTACTTGCAACTGCTCAACTGCAGTACCTTGGGAACACTTTTGTTCCTTTAAATAGCAATTAAAAGAACAATCTGGCTTTAAAGTGACAACATTCCCCTGATAGATTTGAGCTAAAACCCGGTCCTCTTACTAACGGGATTCCTGCTTTCATTTGATATAACAATGTTCAAGCTACTGCTGTCATCCTTGCACTGATAAATAATTTACAGAATGTCACATATCATTCATGCAATGAAACAAATCCAAATCTCCAAACCCATTTTTCTTTCCCAGATGAATTTTTAGCTGTGAGAGAGACATGGCCATCAGCCAGCATTCATGCTCATTTTTCGTTTTTAACTAAAGGTAACACAAAGGACAAAGGTTGCTAGTAGTTCATGGCCAGAAAGACTGATGTCCCGCGCTCTGTCCAATAATAGAAAGCATAGATGTTATCACTTCACGCTACATTCAAGCGAACCCCGCCATGCTGATGTATGCTCACAACCATTTATTTTAAGGATAACTATCTCACAATACTCTATAAAACCACTGCATTATACAGAAATGTCTGCCCTGCTGAATTATTGATAATTCAAAGCACTTTTTGCTAACCTCCGTGTAGCCAAGTCTAATTAACTTTTAAAAATTGTCACTTGTACGAAATGAAACTTTTACAGTAACGCATGTAAATGGGTCACAGGATTATTATGATTCACTGTTCTCAATCAGACTACATATAAACTGTGTTTAAAAAAATCCCTTATAATAAAGTAAAATGGATTCCAGTCAGAAAAAGGTCTGAGTAAATGGCAATTTGATTCTATACAAATCTACTACAGGTAAGTTATATTTAAGATGTCTGAAAATGATACCAAAAATCTCCAAATTCTTAATTCCTTTCTTTGAAATTTCACAAAGGCACCTAACCTGTTGATCACATTTTCCCAACAACATGCCTGAATATTTTAAACTAATCCCAAGAAGGAAGGCTCATGAATAAGTCTAAAGATGAATACATCCAGCAAACTGTGCTCTGGAAGGATCTCCTTGTCTCCCATGCAATGGCCCTGGGGCAGCTGCTAGGCTACAGGCTGCTCCTGCACTATCTCATTTAATCATCTTAACAATCTTGCCCGGTATGAGTATTATCTCTATTTTAGAAAAGAAATTGAGCATCTAAGAAGTTAAGTAACATTTTTAAGGTTGCATAGGTTCAGGTGTAGAGCTGTACTCAAACACAAGTCTGTCTTCATGAGAGCCCATTTCTTACTTTGCTACCTCCCCTCCATTCCTCAGAATAACAAATGTCTAAAATTATCTTTCCATCAGTGGCAATAACTCTTTACTAATGTGTTCATAATCTATTCCATACAATTTCTCCCATGACCAATGGCATATGGTTTTTAAAACTATTAAAAAGGTAACCACTAAACACCATGGATTATGTATTAATTACCATGGGGAAAAGGTACCTTTACAATGGAGAAATCTGGTGGACACTTTATAAACAAGTATGGGACAAAGTGACATCATGTGCCTTCCAAGTGCCTATCCTAAAGGACTGAGCACCACCTATATAGTATTCTTGCCAGAAACATTTATCCTGAGTCCAATCATAAAGAAACAATCAGGCAAATCCAAATTGGGGGATATTCTCTGTAACAACTTTTCTGTACTCTTGAAAAAATGTCATATAATACCCAAAAAAGGGCAGGACCAACCTGGGCAACACGGGGAGACCCCAGCTCTACAAAATAAAAAAATTAGGCAGGCATGGTGGCGCATGCCTGTGGTCCCAGCTACTTGGGGAGTTGAGGTGGGAGGACGGCTTGAGCTGAGGAAGTTGAGGCTGCAATGAGTCGTGATTGCACCACTGCACTCCAGCCTGGGTGGCAGAGCAAGACCCTGTTTCTCAAAAGAAGGGAGGCAGGGGGCAGGACCAATTAAGGTGACTAAACAGGCATGAAAACTAAATATAAATATAATCTGTGATCCGTGGTTGGATTCTGGACTTTTACAAAATATCCACAGCTATGAAGGATATTATTGGGATAATTAGGGTAATGTATACTCAGAATTAGGCAATATATAAACTAGATATAATATAAATTTCTTGAGTGAACATAATTCTGATTATGTAGGAGAATATCTTCGTTTTTAGCAGATATATGTTGAAATATAGGAGTAAAGTGTTATGATGTCTTTATGTTGAAATTTAGGAGTAAAGTGTTATGATTGGAGAGTAACTTACTCTCCAATGATTCAGAAAAAAACAAACCTAAGGGTGTTCGTATGTTAATGTGCACAGAGAGAGAGAGTAAACATGACACAATGTTAACAGTTGGGGAGTCTATGTAAAAGGCATATAGGTGTTCATTACATTATTCTATGTAAAAGGCATATGGGTGTTCATTCTATAATTTTTCCTCATCTTTACAACTTTTCCAAACAAAAAGTTGGGGGGGGGGGGATAAAATTGTGTCCCTTTACTCTCAAAAAAGATCTAAACTGAATCATTATTTTCAGTAGGCCCTCTATATCTGCGGGATTAATATCCGTGGATTCAACCAACCATGAATGCAAAATATTTGAAAAGAAAAAGGATGGTTTTGTCTGTACTGAACATATATGTTTTTTTCTTCTCATTATCCCCTAGACAATAGAATGATTCACATAGCATTTATATTGTATTAGTTATTGTAAGTAATCTAGAAATGATTTAAAGTATATGGGAGAATGTACATAGGTTATACACAAATACTGCACCATTTTACATAAGGGACTTGAGCATCCATGGAATTTGGTATCAGTGGTGGTAGAGGGGTGAGGGAGGGGTCCTGTACCCAATCCCCCACAGATGCCAAAGGATGACAGTAGTTGGACTACAAACATTTATAAATCAAGGTCTCTCAAGCCCATTACCGACTCAGAGGAAATACAGAGGACAGAGGAATATGTTAATCTATAGAGCGGGGAGATGCTAGTACCAAAACACTACGGAAAAAATGGCCCAGTTTCTTCAACAAATTAAACAGGAGACCAAGTGAATAGGCGAGCAAAAAATAGATACAGAAGAATCGCTAGATTAATAGACATTTAAAGGGCGTATCAGCCAATCACAATGTGTGAACCATATCTTGATCATGATTCAAACAAAGTATAAGCAAAACAAAACAAAATATTATGACCTAGTGAAGGAACAAAGGCTACTTAGCTTTAAAAGACTGGGGTGGACTCGCTGGGTGTCTTCATCCAGGTGAAAGGGTTAGATTCGTTCTTGTGGTTACAGAGTACAAAACTTACACCAATAGGAGTCATCATAGAGAGCCTTTCCAACAGCTGTCCAGCAATGGAATGGATTCTTTTTTTTTTCCGCTTCATTTGCTTAGTTTTTATTTTTTTAATTGTGGTTCAAATGGCATTAAGTAAGTTCACAATACTGTGCAACCATTACCACCATTTATCTCCAGAACTCTTTTCAACTTGCAAAACTGAAACTCTGTATCCATTAAACAATAATTTCCCATATTCTCTTCCCCCAGCCCAGGAAAACACCATTCTACTTTCTGTCTCTATGCATTTGATTATTCTAGCTATCGCATATAAGTGAAATCATACAGTATTTGTGGAATGGATTATTCTTGAGGCAATAAGAGGCCCCTATAATCAAGAGGCCATGGAGAGACTGGATGGGCCCCATCAGGATGCTGAGGACACAACAGTATACAATTTCACCTCACACAATTTGGGGATCTGGGACTCTTCAAAGGTTCCTTCCAGATCAAATATTTTAACGGTTCTAGAGTTAATCTCTAAGGACTTTCCCAGTTCTAATTTTTATTGATTCTATAATACTTTAGAAATTTTAAGAGTCTTCAAGACCTTTGATCTCAAAATAAGATAGCATTTTCTAAGGAAACATTCTTTAAATCTAGGACAATGCATTTTTAAGAAGCTTTATTTTACTTTGTGATTACTTCTGTTTCTGCCCAGAAGGAAACTATATATTTGTTAGCCTTAGTCTAAGTAACTGGACAAAAATAAATGAAAATTCCTGCACAAAATCAGAGCCAGGAGTATTTAGATTCATATCCTCCTCCTGACAATGACACAAAAAGGGGTTTTGTAAGCCATTTCCATGGTATCTGTTCACAATGATCAGGGACATATAACCCTCTCTCTCCATAATCCCCTATAGATCCATACTTCTTAAGTCATCTACATCTTTCATGAGACTGCTTAAAAAAACATACCATTTTAGTAATCCCAAGTGTTAAAAACAAAACAGTTCAGCATTTTTCATTCATATGTTCATATTTGCACCACAGAAAGACCCAGATTTAAACGCTGCTCTCTAAGCCTCAGGTTTCCTCATCTGTAAAAGTGCACAATAGTGTCTGTGTTGTCTAGCTCTCGGGTTGTTAAAGTTCAAATGTGAGTGAGTGTGGAAAGTATTTTGTAAACTACAAAGTTCTACTCAAATATTATTATGAGTATTGCAAAATTTTATTTGGCTATAAAAACAGAAAGAGCAAACAAACAACTTCAAGTCCTTAATAAGCATCAGAACAAATGAATTATTCTGGAGTTTAGAATTACTCTATAAAAGACTTTCATTTTCTGAGCCCCCATGATGAATATTAATCTTAGAGGATTTTTTTAAAGAATGAATTAATCAGGGAGTACAGGAACAGAGTAGAAAATGCCTCCACTGAGAGCCAAAAGGCCTGCAACTATTTAATAAAAGGAAAACTCAAACTAAATGAAAAGAAAAAGATGTTGGAGAAAGAAAAGCATAAACAAATACAAAATCTTAAATGAATAATACTACAAAAGCAAGCAAAGATGAATACTGGCTGGGCACGGTGGCTTACGCTTGTAATCCCCACACTTTGGGAGGCCGAGGTGGGCAGATCACCTGAGGTCAGGAGTTCGAGACCAGCCTGGCCAACATGGTGAAACCTCGGCTCTACTAAAAATACAAAAAAAAAAAAAAAAAAAAAAAAATTAGCCAGGCATGGTGCCTGTAATCCCAGCTACTCAGGAGGCTGAGGCAGAAGAATCACTTGAACCCGGGAGGCGGAGGTTGCAGTGAGCCAAGACCGCGCCATTATACTCCAGCCTGGGCAACAAGAATGAAACTCCATCTTAAAAAAAAAAAAAGACTCTTCTGTGTCTCTTTAGTTTGCTCTCCCTTGTTACACTGTACTGAAATGTGAAGTTTAGGTAATGCTTTGCTGTTTACCACAATGCTTTTCCCAAGTCCCAAATACGAATGCCATGCTACAAGGCCACCTCTCTAAGGTCACCTAACTAGTGAGATGGAGGAACTTCCAGCCTGCTGATGCCAAGCCCTTCACTCTCTGGCTTTCCCCATGGTTTGTCCCTCCTTTCACTTGGAGCTTGATATACCTCAGCAGAAAGGCTGTCCCTGACCATCCCTCTCTGAAACTGTACTCCACTGGCACCACTCCAGAATCTCCATACCTTTTTTTTTTAGGAGACACCACTCACTTTGTCACCCAGGATGGAGAGCGGGGGCGTGATCAAAGCTCACTCCAGCTCGATCTCCAGGGGCTCAAGTGATCCTCCCGCCTCAGCCTCCCAAGTAGCTGGGACTATACTGGCGCACTACCACGCCCAGCTAATTTTTTAACTTTTCATAGAGATGGGGGTCTCGCAACATTTCCCAGGCCATCTCGAACTCCTAAGCTCAAGCAATCCACCCACCTCGGCCTCCCAAAGTGCTGGGATTACAGATGTGAGCCACTGTGCTCGGCTCCATACCTTGGCTTTATTTTTCTTCATTGCACTGACCATTATCTGAAATATTGCATATCATTTATTTGTCTGTTTCCCTTACTAAACCATAAGTTCCATCATGATGGCAGAGACTGTTCATTGCTGTAGCCCCAGCTTCAAAAGTGTATCTATTGAATAAATGAATAAACAAATGAATAAACTGCTCTGAAGTTGGGAACTGGTTTCTCCAATTCACAGGTCCCAAAATATTGTCAACTGTCTTTTATTTTCATGTATATCCTCAATGACCACAAACACGACATGTAAAGAAACCATCAATGGCAAGGTGGGTTCCACCATTGTCTAATCTGAAACCTTTTTTACTCTGACACACATAATAAACGACATTTATGTTTGCTATATACTTCCCTGGGCATAAACTGACAAGACGGGACCAAAATTTTAAAATCAGTTGGGAGGAAAATTATCTGCCCAGTATTCACTATTAGGGCTTGCTTAGTAATAGTCACTATAGGTTGTAATAGTCACTATATAAGACAGATTTGGAGCATGACCAGTTGCCAGCACCTAGTTGTGGTGGCACTCCCCCTCCCCAGTCCCGCTATTTCTTTCCATCTCTACAAAGAATACAAGGTTATTAAAAGAAAAAAAAAAAGGGTCGCTGGGCGTGGTGGCTCACACCTATAATCCCAGCACTTTGGGAGGACAAGGCAGGCAGATCATTTGAGGCCAAGAGTTCTAGACCAGCCTGGCCAACATGGTGAAACCCCGTCTCTACTTAAAAAATACAAAAATGAGCTGGGCATGGTGGTGCGCACCTGTAGTCCCAGCTACTCTGGAGGCTGAGGCAGTAGAATCACTTGAACCCGGGAGAGGGAGGTTGCAGCAAGCCAAGATCATGCCACTGCACTCCAGCCTGGGCAACAGAGCAAGATTCTGTCTCAAAAGAAACAAAAATTAAAAATTAAAAAAAAAAAAAGAAAAAGAAGGAAGCCAAGTAAAATGAATACACTGCAATGGTAACAAAATTATAACAAGACTATGTATCGGTTTAGTCTTTTTAAATTTAATTTTCATTTCAATCTATTCAATTTATTTTGAGACAAGCTTTTGAGACTGGCTAATTTTTTTTTTATTTTTGGTAGAGATGAGGTTTCACCATGTTGCCCAGGCTGATCTCGAACGCCTGGGCTCAAGTGATCCACCTGCCTCGGCTGGTGCTGGAATTACAGGAATGAGCTACCATGTCTGGCCTGTTATGGTCTATTTTTAAAAGAAAAATATTTTACAAATTTTGGTGCCTTATTACTGGTAATGAATTATTGTCCACAAACTTCACAACTGATGGCACTGCAACAAAGGCTGAAAACTGCTTCCTGTTGTTACTAAGGTTTTTTTGTTTGCTACTTCAGAACTCTATTTGACACTTACCTAATAAAGAACTAGACTTTATTTCTTGCCACTTAACCCACTTATGCAACTGATGTCTGTCGGAACAGATCAAGTTTGCTCCTAATTAGGATAGAGATCATGCACACTCAGGATTTTCCCTCACAGCAATCTGCTTCAGATATGGTCTTCGGAAACACACTAACTCTAAAAGTAGGGATTTCCTGTGATGATCTAAATCATCTTATTTTTTTTCCAGAGCGTTATTTTGTTCCCGTCTGCATCTGCAGTAACAGTAACTGTGGTCAGGACAGCCATTCCTCTGCAGGGAGGTTCATGCCCAGCACTCCCTCAGAGCAGCCCTGGGTCTACTTCACATCCTTCGGGGTAGAACAGAACTCTGTTTACGACAAGTCTATCGCCATTTTCTCTATACTCCTGTACCCTTTTGTTTTATTCCATGGCTATTCTTGCAATTTCATCATGAATTGGACATAAGTAGACACCAAACAATTTTTTTCTAAAAGATAATTGGAGATATACTTACTATAAGACTTTACACAGGCAACACTGTCATCATAATTCTACTCTCCCTATATAGATTTTTATTGTATCACCTCCCCTGCTCATTATACTTCTCTGTGGGTAATTGGTTCTGTGAGGGAGCACTATATCATCCCCCCGAGCTCTGTGGATTAAGTATCTGTATTACTCAGGGCAAAAGGATTTATTATTGTTAATGTATGGAGATCTTGAATGTGACTGCTGTATTTTTACCTCCTTGTCACAGGATGAGGGTTCTCCATATTTTAAGTGACAGTAAGGAAGCAGGAAAATCTAATAAAATAAAAATATTCAAAAGCATCCCTACATATATCCCTAAAATACATCGCTTCTTTTTTCATTTAAAGAAATCATTTAGAAACAAAAAAAGATATAAATGACCACACAGTGGGAAAGTCCCATGATCAAAGGCTGACTCAGAAGTATAAAATAATAAAGCTTAGCCATAACGGAGTAAGACGAGAGAAGGAAAGTCTTTCTAAGAACATCAACCACAACAGTTTTTAATTGTGTGGACTTAATTGAAATGCTCACACTGTATCCTGTAGTCTAGAACTTGTTCTAATCAGGCAGGTGTGCCATTTATAAAAGTGCTGATTAAGGAAAGTGATTCTATTGGAAGGAAACAAATCTAATCCTACATACTGCATTTAACAATAGCATCTCATTTGTGTGGTGTGTGTTTTCTTGTTTTTTTTGTTTTGTTTTGTTTTGTTTTCCTGGTAGATGAAGCCTACAAATTTCTTAGGGGTGGGGCGCGGGGCTGGGGAAAGGACATTCATGAAACAATTGCTTGCCCCAGGGCCTTCAGTTTCTTATCTGGACAGGGACTTCTCTCCTCCACTTCTGCCATTAGAAACTGCAGGTATTGGATTTATCTTCTGAAGAGGGACCAAAGTCTGATTCAACACAGCTGGAAATTCAACACATGGTTACAGGAAGTCTGTTTAGGATTTACAAACTATTCTCTTTGGCAAGCATATCATGATATTAGCAATATAAACCCTACTCTGGATTTAGAAAAATGGAATTTTAAAATCAACTTACATTCAAGTGTCACAAACCTTTAGTCATTCCTTTTTAAAAAGAAAATTAACAAAGTGCCTCTCTAGTGATTCCCAACTTCAGTGCTGTAGGAACCTTCACTGGAGCAGGTCCAGACTTCAAGACTATAATTTATTTAGGGATACAAAAATCGACAAGGATGTAAATAGAAATTCTGTCTTAAAGACGGCAAGAAAAACAGTAGGAAAACCTGGGCACTAGATTCTGAAAACAATGCAAGTACTGCCATTGGTAGAAATTCTGTATTGTAATTCATCTCTATGACTTGGGAATGTTTTCCAAGTGAGGCTAGAAGCAAAATAGTAATGCATAGATTAAAGGATAGGCATAACAACAATTTACAAGAAACACAAGCAAGAGCTGATACTTAGTAGAGCTGTGTATCAGCTAGAGGCAGCTAGGAGCTTCTGCAGTTGCCCCAAGGCATTCATTTTAATTTAGATATGGTGCTACAAAACACTGCCTAGGCACACTGTGAACTGAATGTAGACATTCTTACTATTAATCCTGCCAAGAGAAACCTGCTCTAACTGCTCAGGAGACACAGGCAACTCAACTGAATGTAATTAGATCCAAACAGGAAAGTAGAATGAGGAGATGGGACATAGGTAAGTGGTTATTAACAAGCTAGAAAAGTCAGACACTAGTCACTTTCTCAATAATATTATCACCACCACCTCTGACAATGCCCTGCACTCACAGAGATTTACATGGCAGTTGAGATGTTATGTGCTATTCAATAAGTTACTAATATTTACTCAGCACCCAAAGTATGCCACGCAGAATATAATTGGTACTCCAAGTGCTTGTCCTCATAGAACCAATAAAAGTAGTGTAATTCCATTACTACACTTAATTCTCAATTGCCCTCTGGGCACACAAACCATCTGGTGTGCAGAATTTCCATGCTCCTGACTTCTTTTGTTTTCCCTGCTTTCAGACTACCTCTGACCCTTTCAATTGCAGTATTCATAAGCAGTAGGAAAAGAGGATTATGTGGATAATTACTACCTGAAGGTCAAGAGCTCTGACCTTGTTTTTTGGAGTTAATTCTGTGTAGCAGAAGACTCATTCTTAGACCCCCTTTGTGGCAGAGTTTCTAAATCTCCTTATGCTTTAGGCCAGGCACCACCCTGGGCACTTACATGAGCATTATCTTGGACAGACTCTGCTCCCTGGCACCACAGCTTCACTGTAAGGTGTGTTGGAACTGCACAAAACCAAAGCCCCTCCCTGCATACTAATACAAGCTGCAGCAAAGCCAGGAGAAGAAATACCAGGCATGACAAGGCCTTCCCCTGAGGGTGAAGATTTTAAACTTAATTTCCTAGATCTTTACTAGGGTAAACAGTAGAAAGCCTACTAAGGGTAAACAGTAGAAAGCCTACTAAGGGTAAACTGTAGGAAGAAGGAAGAAAAAGCCCATTATTTTGGTGACATTGGTAAAATTTTGCATATCTTAAATAGCTTAGTACATGGTGAGCTCTTGGAAGATCCTTGTTTGGTTTATCTTAATTACTATACATAATAAAGAATTATACACACAGTAGATGTTTGATTAATATCTGTTGAATATACGAATGTAACATTTCTCATACTTGGTACTTTCTTATCAGTTTCTAAATTACATTCTTACTTTAGCATATAAATGGTAAATAAATAATAATAGAACAGCACACGGTTATGGGGGGAAATACACATTTTAAATGTTTGCACATTTAGAACCTTCACATCTTCCCATTTACAGTTGTTGTTTTTAGTTTGTTTGTTTTTGTTTTTTCAGCCGGGAGCGGTGGCTCATCCCTATAATTCCAGTACTTTTTTGGGAGGCCAAGGCGGGCAGATCACTTGAGTTCGAGACCAGCCTGGCCAACATGGCAAAACCCCATCTCTATTAAAAATACAAAAATTAGCTGGGCGTGGTAGCACACGGCTGTAATCCCAGCTACTAGGGAGGCTGAGGCAGAACTGCTTGAACTCAGGGGGTGGAGGTTGTAGTGAGCCAAGATCGTGCCACTGAACTCCAGCCTGGGCGACACAGTAAGACTCGTCTCAAAAAAAACCAAATATAACAAACAAACAGTTTTTTTTTCAATTGTGGCAAAATATAAATAACATAAAATTTACCATTTTAACCATCTTTAAGCATACAGTTAAGTGGCACTGACTACATTCCCGTTGTTGTACAACTAAGTTGAGCCATATTTTACATACAATGAAATGTACAGTTTGATGAGCTTTAAATAAATGCATACACTGGTAACCCACACCCCTATCAAAATACAGACCACTCCATAACCCAGAAAGTTCTCTCCTGCTAGTTCCCTGCTCATACCTTTCCACTTCCCTTCCTAAGCAATCACAAATCTGATTTCTACCACCACGATTTGATTAAGTCTGTTCTGGAACTTCATTTAAGTGGACTCAGACACTATGATTTTTTTATGTAGGGCTTCTTCCACTCTCCACAATATTTTTGAGATTCACATACATTGTTGTATCTGTCAGTATTTCATTAATTTTTATCACTGAGTAGTATTTTACTGTAAATATACAAAATTTTATTTGTTCTCTCTATAATTGATTAGCATTTGTTTTAAGTTCAGGGCTAAAATTTTAAAAATCACTATGAACATTATTTTTTAGAATATGTGCTTTCATTTCTCTTGATTAAATACCTAGGAGTGGAACACCTGGGTCATTAGATGGGTATATGTTTAACTTCATTAGAAACCCCTAACTAGACTGATTAAGAAAAAGAAAATGCAAATCACCAATATCAGGAAGTAAAGTAGAGATATAACTACAGACCATTAAGACGGTAAAATAATGGGAAATATTATTAACAACTTTATGCCAATAAATTAGACAACAGAGATAAGAAATGGACTTCACTGATAGACAAAATTATCAAAACTAACCCAAGAAGAAACAGAAAATCTGAATAACCCTAAATCTACTACAGAAAATGATTCATTATTTAAAACCTCCCTAGAAGAACTACCAGGCCCAGATGACTTTAGCGGTGAATTATTTCAAAGATTTAAGAACACAATGCCAATTTTACACGATCTATTTCAGAAAATAGAGGAGGAGGAAATATTTCTCAATTGGTTTTATGAAGCCAGCATAATTCTGATACCAAAATCAGATGAAGACATTATAAGAAAAGAAAATTAAAAGTGCAGTCAATATCCTTCATGAAAATAATCTCCATTATGAAAAGTTTTACTTTAAAAAACAACTCACCTTTACTTAAGTATAATTACATTGAGGTGTAATTTATTTGCAAAAACACGCAACCTTTTAAAGTTTGGGCAGGCCGGCGGGCACAGTGGCTCATGCCTGTAATCCCAGCACTTTGGGAGGCTGAGGCGGGCGGATCACTTGAGCTCAGGAGTTGGAGACCAGCCTGATAAACATGGTGAGACCCCGTCTCTATTAAAAATACAAAAATTAGCTGGGTGTGGTGGCTGTAATCCCTCACTCAGGTGAGGCAGAAGAATCTCCCGAACCCAGGAGGCGGAGGTTGCAGTGAGCCAAGATGCACCACTGCACTCCAGCCTGGATGACAGAGTGAGACTCCGTCTCAAAAAAAAGAAAAAAACAAAAGTTTGGGCAAATGATACATCCATGTAATAATCCTAACAATTAAGACATAAATCCCTCTCATCACCCCAAAATGTTCCTTCCTGCATTCTCTTCCCTTTTCAGACCCAGGCAATCACTCATCTGCTTTCTGTCACGACAGATTAGTTTCGCCTGTTATAAAATTTCATATATGAAATCATACAATCCGTACTCTTTTATGACTTAACCTTACACTTGACATATTTTTGAGATTCATCCATGTTGTTGCATGTGTGAGTAGATTATTCCGTTTAATGTTACTCAGTGCCTCATTTTATGAATATATCTAAATTTGTTTATCCATTTACCTGTTGACAGACATCTGAGTTCTTTACAGTTTGGGGCTCTATGAATAAACTTCATATGAACATTCATGCAAGTCTTTTTTGTGTACATGTTTTCATTTATCTTGGGTAAATACCTAGGAGTGGAACTGCTAGGCATACGGTTAAGTGTAGGTTTATTTTATAAGAAACAGGCAAAGTGTTTTCCAAGGTGCTTGTGCCATTTTACACTTCCAGTTGCACTTGGTATGGTATTATCAGTGTTTTTAATTTTGGCCATTCGAGTGTATGGAAGTGTCTCATTGTGATTTTAATATGCATATCCTTTTTTTTTTTTTTTTTTTTTTTTTGAGACGGAGTCTCGCTCTGTCGCCCGGGCTGGAGTGCAGTGGCGCGATCTCGGCTCACTGCAAGCTCCGCCCCCTGGGCTCACGCCATTCTCCTGCCTCAGCTTCCCGAGTAGCTGGGAACACAGGCGCCTGCCACTACGCCCGGCTAATTTTTTGTATATTTAGTAGAGACGGGGTTTCACCGTTTTAGCCAGGATGGTCTCGATCTCTTGACCTCGTGATCCACCCGCCTTGACCTCCCAAAGTGCTGGATTACAGGCGTGAGCCACCGCGCCCGGCCTAATTTGCATATCCTTGATGACTAATGACGTTGTTCATGTGCTTAATGGCCATTCATATATCTTCTTTTGTACAGTTTCTGTTAGAATCTTTTGCCCATTACAATGGTCACTGCAATATATTGTCAGATCCTCTTTCAGTGAAAAACCTATTGTCTCAGCTAAGAATGCTATGGGAAATCAGTATTCAGCTATCACTCCCTCCAGGGATTGCCTCAAGCTGCAGAGAATCACACTGGCCAAGATATATCCTTCCTAGCATGGGCCATATCCAGTGATACAGGCCCACATTACTGAGTGATGCAGAAATAAAAAGGCACCATCAGGGCCCAACTCAGGGAAATTCCGAAGGTCCAGTCCAGCTTCAGAGCAATCTGTGAAGTCATCCAAGGCTGTTCCTGGGCCGCATCACTGCTCAACATCTCCCTCCATCCAGTGCTGCTTTGTTGCCCTCCTTCTCAAAAGCCTTAATACCAAGGGCATCCCTTACTAAATATCCCATACCTGAGCTTTATCCGTAGCTGCTTCCTGAGGAACACAACCTGTAACACCCATTGTTTAATTGGGTTGTTTGTCTTATTCAGTTGTAAGAGTTCCTTACATATACTGGATACAGGTCCTTTGTATGTATGTATATAACACATAAGATATAAGTGTTGTGAATATTTTCTCCCAGTTTGTGGCTTGCCTTTCCATTTTCCTACCAATTTCTTTTGGAAAAACTTCAGTTTCTAATTTTGATAAAGTGCCATTTATCGATTTTTCTACTTTTTGTGTTCAATCTAAGAAATTTTTATCTATCCCAAAGTTGCAATGGTTTTATCCTACATTTTCTTCTAGTTTTATAGTTTTAGTTTTTTATATGTCTATACACCATTTTTAGTATATTTTTGTGTATGAGGTGAGATAAGGGTCAAGGTTCATTTTTTTTCCCATATGTATAACCAGTTATTCCAGGATCATTTGTTGAGATTTTCTTCTTCCCACTGAACTAGTCCTTCAACTTTGTTGTTCTTTTTCAAAAAATTTTTAAACTATTTCAAATCCTTTGTCACAAATTTGTTCATCAACGTCCCAATTTTTAGGAAAAAGCTTTTTGGGATCTTTACTGGGCTTGTTTTGACTCTATAAATCAGTTTGGGAAGTACTAACATTGTAACATTATCAGTCTTCTATGAACATGGGACACTTCTCCATTTACTTAGGGCTGCCTTAATTTCTTTCAATAATGCTTTACAGTTTTTGGGGTACAGGCTTTGCCTATATTTTGTCTAACTTTATCTGTATATATTTTCATAGTATTTGATGCTATTGTAAATGTTATTTCAGGTTCTGAATCTTCATTGCTACCATATAGAAATGCAACTTTAAAAATAATCATTTTGTATCCTAGGACCCTGCTAAATCCTCTCTAGTTTTAGCAGCTGTCTTAAAGATTCCTTAGGATTTTTGATATAGATGACCATATGGTCTAAAACTAGAGACACTATTAGTTCTTCCTCTCAATCTGCATGCTGTAAGACATAGTATTAGTATTATCATTAATACTTAATACTGTAAGAGACATTATTATTCTTCCTCCCAAACTTTCATTTCTTTTTCATACCTTGTTACACTGGCTAGAAACTCCAGTACAATGCTGAATAGAAATGATGAAAGGGGGATATTCTTGTCTTATTTCTGACCTTAGGAAGAAAGTATTTAGTCTTTCACTGTTAATAATGACATTAGCTATGGCTTTTTTTTTTTTTTTTTTTTTTTTTTTGCGATGGAGTTTCGCTCTTGTTGCCTAGGCTGGAGTGCAATGGCACGATCTCGGCTCACTGCAACCTCCACCTCCCGGGTTCAAGCGATTCTCCTGAATCGGCCTCCCGAGTAGCTGGGATTACAGGCTTGTGCCACCATGCCCAGCTAATTTTGTACTTTTAGTAGCGATAGGGTTTCTCCATTTTGGTCAGGCTGGTCTCGAACTCCTGACCTCAGGTGATCTGCTTGCCTCCGCCTCCCAAAGTGCTGGGATTACAAGTATGAGCCACCATGCCCAGCCAGATATGGCTTTTTATAAATGTCTTTTATCAGGTTGACAAAAGTTTCTTCTATTCCTAGTTTGCTAAGAGTTTATATCATTAATGGATTTTTAGCTTTGTTGATTGTTTTTCCTTATCTTAATAAGATGATCATATATTTGCTTCATGTCACAATATTAAATCAACTGTATTTCTGGATAAACCCTTTTCTAGGTAAAACTCAAAATGTATTATCCTTTTTATATATTTCTGGATTAATTTGCTAATTAAAAAAATCTGTGTTTATGTTCATGAGGAATGTTCCATAGTTTCCTTTTCTTGCAAAGTCTTTGTTTCGTTTTTATTTTATTTCTTGAGACAAAATCTCACTCTGTCGCCGAGGCCAGAGTGCACTGGCATGGTCTCAGCTCACTGCAACCTCCGCCTCCCAGGTTCAAGTGATTCTCTTGCCTCAGCCTCCTGAGTAGCTGGGATTACAGGCACCTGACACCATGCCTGGCTAATTTTTGTATTTTTAGTAGAGATGGGGTTTCGCCATGTTGGCCAGGCTGGTCTTGAACTCTTGAACTCCTGACCTCAAGTGATCTGCCCGCCTCGGCCTCCCAAAGTGCTGGGATTACAGCCGTGGCACCCGGCCAGTTTTTGGCTAGTTTTAGTATGAAAGCAAAGCCAATCTCATAAAGTGAAATGGGATGTGTTCCCTCCTCTTCTATTTTCTGAAAGAATTTAACATTTGTATTGTTAAAGATTTGATAGATTTCATCACTATTATGTTGTCAGTTGTCTGAGTCTGGAGTTTTCTTTGTAGCTAAGTTTTAAATTATGAACCGAATTTCTTTGCTCGCTATAGACCTATTCAGATTGTGCATGTGTGCATGCATGTGTGTGTGTTTGTGTGTTGGTGGTAATTTGGGCTTTCCACAAATTCTGATTTCATCTCAGTTACCCAATTTTTTAGCATAAACTTGCTCATAATATTCCTTTATTATCCTTATTATGTCTTCAATGCTATCTCCTCTCCCATTCCTGTTACTGATAATTTGTCTTTTTCTTTTTCATTAGTCTAGCTACAGATTTCTAAATTTTATTGATGTTTCAAAGGACCAACTCTTGATTTCTCCTATTTACTTGTAATGTTATTGGCAGAAAATGTTGGTTCTAACATAGACATCTTATTTGGTATCATCTCTGTCATTACCATTATTATTCTAATTCAATAGAGAGAACCATGTGACTATTCAGAATAACATTCCCTTTTCCTTGGATGTAGAGGATCTGCTCATTCAGCCTGGTGATATGCCACATGCACATCACTCCTGGGATCTGGGGGTGCGGGTGCACAGATAACAGCTGGCATTTTAGTAGAAGAAGATTCCTACCAAGAATTGCTCTCCAGACAGTGCTTTTTAACCAGGTGCGAAGAATCTTAACCTGATTCTGATGAATTACCCATGGATCTTCTAAAAAAAATGCACATGCCTAAGTCTCACCCACAGACTTTGACTCAATAGGTCTGGGATTAACTTAGGAATCTTAATTTGTAACCAATCTTCAAGAATTCTGATGGTACCCCAACTTTGGAATCACAGCTCTGAATCATCAGAACACTGGACAGTTTATGCTAAGAAGAGTCTAAGGAGTTGGAGAGAAAATACAGAGCAGTGAGGCGACCAAGAATTTGTTGCCTACCACCTAATTTAGGGACTCAAAGGCATAAATGAGCTTAGGTACATAAACATGTTTTAAAAATGGGGGAAAGGCTGGGTGCAGTGGTGCACACCTGTAGTCCTAGCTATGGATAGACTGAGGTGGGAGGATTGCTTGAAGCCCAGAATTTTGAAGTTACAATGAGCTGACTGCATAACTGCACTCCAGCCTGGGCGACAGAGCAAGAACTTCTCTTTAAAGAAAGAAAAAAAAAAAAAACAAAGGCCGGGCACGGTGACTCACGCCTGTAATCCCAACACTCTGGGAGGCTGAGGCGGGCGAATCACGAGGTCAAGAGTTCAAGACCAGGCGGACCAACATGGTGAAACCCCATCTCTACTAAAAATACAAAAATTAGCCCAGCATGGTGGCACGTGCCTGTAGTCCCAGCTACTCAGGAGGCTGAGGCAGGCGAATCACTTGAACCCAGGAGGTGGAGGTTGCAGTGAGCTGAGATGGCACCACTGTACTCCAGCCTGGGCAACAGAGCGAGACTCTGTCTCAAAAAAAAAAAAAAAGGGGAAAAATATGTAAGTGTAATTACGAGTACATATAGCTTTAAACTCCTCAATGTGAGCACTATTTTGTTGATTTTAATGTATACATACACATGGTTTTCTTAAAAAATTCCACACAGTACAAAGACATTTTAATAGAAAGTAAGTGTCCCTCACATTTGAAGGTCTAACACCTTCAAATCCTGTCTCCAAAGGTAGTTATTGTAACCAGATTCATTAAGACACTTTCATTAATAGCCCCGACACACACACACAAATAACACCTTAAAAAAAGAAGTTGCAGCAGTCTCAACTTCTCAACCCAGTCCCAGTCTCATCCTAATTAATATTGATGTTATTACTACTCATTTGTTTCTACATAAAAATGTACACATGTACACTTCCATGTGCAAATACATCTATAGGATAAACTCTTACAAGTGAAATTGCTGGGTAACGGAAACAGGCATTTTAAATTGCGACAGGTTGTATCACTGCACACTTCCAACATATTTTATCAAATTTCTTCCCTTTGCCAATTTAGTTGTTTAAAATCATACCATAAACTTGTTTCTCAAATCAACTTTAAAAAATAGACTCCAGCTGGGCACAGTGGCTCACGCCTGTAATCCCAGCACTTTGGGAGGCCGAGGCGGGCGAATCACAAGGTCAGAAGTTTGAGACCAGCCTGGCCAATATGGTGAGACCCCGTCTCTACTAAAAATACAAAAATTAGCCGGTCGTGGTGGCGCACACCTATAGTCCCAGCTACTTGGGAGGCAGAGGCAGAAGAATCATTGGAACCCAGGAGGCAGAGGTTGCAGTGAGCCAAGATTGTGCCACTGCACTCCAGCCTGGGCAACAGAGACTCCATCTCAAAAAACAAATAAACAACAACAACAAAAAAACAGACTCCAAGGTCATATTTTAAGTCAAAAAGGGGTAATTTTCCTTAGCCCCTAGTATGTGATAATACAAATAAAGCTGTACCTCCACAAGCACCCATAATTCATAGTTAATATCAAAGATTAGTGTTCCCATACATCCTCACAGCCTTTACATTGGAAGAATCAACTCAAACAGCAGTAGAAGCACTACCAAACAGGCAGAGAGTAGTAAACCAAACTCTGCTCTCCTATCCAGTGATCTTGCAGGATCAGCATAGGAAGCACACCATCTTCACACTAAAAAGATAACTAAAGCATGAATACAAGGGGACTGGTGTGTGTGTGTGTGTGTGTGTGTGTGTTAAGAAAATAAAGGGGCTGGGCACGGCAGCTCACACCTGTAATCCCAACACTCTGGGAGGTCGAGGTGAGCAGATCACCTGAGGTCAGGAGTTCGAGACCAGCCTGGCCAACATGGTGAAACCCTGTCTCTACTAAAATTACAAAAATTAGCCAGGTATAGAGGCGGGCACCTGTAATCTCAGCTACTCAGGAGGCTGAGGCACGAGAATTGCTTGAACCCAGGAGGCAGAGGTTGCAGTGAGCCGAGATTGTGCCATTGCACTCCAGCCTGTGTGACAGAGTGAGACTCTGTCTCACAAAAAAAGAGAAAATAAAGGGTGCATAATTTATCTGAGACCATGAGTTAACAGGAAACTCTCCATGTATGTTTGACAGATCATTGGAAATTACAAGGGCATGGAAATTTTTTACCAGCCCATAAAATTTCAGTATTCCTTTCCATATTCAGTGTCACAACAAAGAATAATCTAAAGACTCAAAGAATAATCAGTAAGCATAGACCCATCTATACAGGTAAAATATCAGTATTGTCAGGCATGGTTTTTCTTCCTCTCTCCCTTCTTTCTTCTCTTTTTCCACTTCATCTTCTCTTCTTTCCAATTACCTGCCCTATCTACTTTGAGGGCCTGGTTCACATGATACTGCTGGTAGTCTATGTAGGGAGCCATCCCTAAATCATTAAGATGATTTGGGGGATAGCTGGGGGGTGGGGAGGATGGTGTAGATCAGTGCTTCTTAAACTTTAATATGCAAACAGAACATCTTTTAACGTCCTGTTAAAATGCAGATTCTGATACAGTGGTTCTAGGATGGGGCCAAAATCCTGCATTTCAAACAAGCTCCCAGGTTAGATTGATGTTGCTGACCTGCGGTCCACATTTTTGAATGGTAAGAATACAGGTCATTTAAAAACAACAACGACAACAACAACAACGAAACAGCCAGGTGAGGCGGCTCATGTCTATAATTCCAGCACTCTGGGAGGCTGAGGAGGGAGGATGGCTTGAGCCCAGGAGTTTGAAGTTACAGTGAGCTATGATCTTGCCAAAACAACTCATATTCAACTCTGGGGTATGTTTGGGGTATGTTTTACCATTTCGATATGAGGATTCACCAAAGAGTTAAACCCTATAGTGAAAGCCCTGGAGGAGGAACTGGAATAATAGTAATTGTAGTGGTTGCTGGTGACAGCAATTGCAGTAGTTAGTAGTAGTTATCATAGCAGTAATAGCAGAAGCAGCGACAGCAATAATTTAAGAGCAAAAGCAAACATTTAAGAGCACTTACTATGAACAGATATTCTGGTAAGCATTTAGTTAATGATTAAAATGCAAGAAGAGAGGTAACATTATCTCCATTTACACATGAGAAACTGAAGTTAACTTTCCCAGGGTAGTCAGGCTTTAGAACCATTGCATTACCCTGTCTCTAGTTATCTATCAAGTTCACCATCACTGTAATATTAGTAATGGAGGTCATAATTTCTCAAGCTGACACACAGGAGGAGGCAATTATTTAAAGACCTTCTTTTTCTCATTCCTGTAAAGTCCAGCTTGGATAAATAAATAGATCATTATAACTTATCAGTTTAGGTCAAGGTCAAGAAGATTTTAAATTAATATTTGACAATACAGTGCAGACAGTCTAGCTTTGGGTAATGAAGGCTGGCTGTGCTTTCAGAGACTATTATGATGATGATGTTGTTTTAAACCTCTTGGCTTTATTTGTTAACTAAGGTGTGAGAGTGGAACAGCTTGCTTTTAAAGTTATCCTAAGATTAACTTTGGTTACAATATGAATTCCAGCATATTTGGCTCCGAAGCTACATTTTACGCTTTTTAGAGATTAAGCTAAACATACAATTCTCAGTCAAAAAGCCCTGTGGAGTAACCCGATCTGAGCAGGGGCACTTTAACTCACTGCCAAATAAAAAGCATGATCGCCTTATTCCACACACACAAATACCATTCTTGGATAGGCCAATTAATCATGAATATAACTTTTCAGACATTACATAATTTCACATAGACTTGCTTCTAATGCTTGCCAAAGAAAACATCAATTTCTATCACTAGGAATAAATGTACACTTCAAAAGGAATGAAAGTTACAAACATGAAACAGTGAAACTCTGGCCACCCTTCTCATGCCATCCTCCTTCATAACTTCTCTAATAATTTTATTATACAAAACTGGCATTAATAAACAACCTAAAATGACATAAGTTGTAAAAGTGCATAAACAAAATAAAAATCGAGAAATCCAATTAAGTTTTATACCCATGGAAGTGGCAACCTCTAAGATACAGTAGAAAAATAAGGTCATATACACACCGCACACTCCTGGATGCTCCAATATTACACACATACACACAAAAACCACACATTGATATATTAAATCACCATTATTTTTTAAAGATTCAATTTTCCTATCTAAAATTATTTGTTTTCTAAATAAACATCTCACTCATCCCTGGTCAATTAGGAATAAATGATTAATTTGAAAGTAATCTACCAGTATCTACAATCAACATTTTCAAATATAAATAATCAACATAAACCTGGGAATAGTATATTATTTTTTAAAAATACCTGTTGGCCCAGGATTCCCTTCAGCATGTTTTACAAAATTTCTTTTTTTTTTTTTTTGAGATGGAGTCTTACTCTGTCTGCCAGGCTGGAGTGCAGTGGCGCAGTCTTGGCTCACTGCAACCTCTGCCTCCTGGGTTCAAGTGATTCTCCTGCCTCAGCCTCCCGAGTAGCTGGGATTACAGGCGCCTGCCACCATGCCCGGCTAATTTTTTTGTATTTTTGGTAGAGACAGGGTTTCACCATGTTGGCCAGGCTGGTCTCAAACTCCTGACCTCATGATTCGCCTGCCTTGGCCTCCCAAAGTGCTGGGATTACAGGGAAGAGCCACCGCACCCGGCCCAAAATTTCTTAACAGATTATTTACAAGCAACAAAACTTGGAAAACAAAAGCAACAAATCATCTTCATGCTAAATAATGGCTGTACTAAAGATAGATTTTAAAGGAGGTATGCATAAACTCACTACAGATTTATCTGAATAATCCTCTTCTACAAACATTTTTAGGGTGTTCTTCACACTATCCTTTTAAAAACAAAATTACTTCCTCACACTATCCTTTTAAAAAAAATTATTTTCTATTTACTTAAAACTGAGTAGATAAGTGACTACTTTTGAAACTTTCCTAAGGAAAATCTCTCACCCTAATCATCATCACTCAAAAGCATGCAAGTGTCCATACATACACATGGCGCTCTATGCTTTTAAACAAAGACCAAGCCATTCATGCCAGATCTTTCATAGGTGTGTAGAAACAACTGGTACAGTGCTTCTCCTCCCTTGTTTAAACTCTTGCCTCACCAGCCAGGATTTTGTTCAATTTTACTTGGTATGTTTTGCATTTAAAAAGATGTATTTTTGGCCAGGCTCTGTGGCTCATGCCTGTAATCCCAGCAGTTTGGGAGGCTGAGGCAGGAGGACTGCTTGAAGCCAGGAGTTCAAGACCAGCCTGAGCAACAACATAGCAAGATCTCGTCTCAACAAAAAGTTTTACAAATTAGTCAGGCATGGTGGCGCATGCCATTGCACTCTGGTCTGGGCATCATAGCGAGACTCTGTCTCAAAAAAAAAATGAAAAAAAAAGATATATTGTTTTCATTTTCTAAAAAAGATATAATTCTAAATACTTTTCCAAATTATGTAGCTATATATGAGTACACAGATGTGTGTATATATATATATGTGTGTGTATGTAAATGTATGTACATATGTATAATATCGGGTGTGCTCTTCATTCTCTCCAATTAATAAATAACAGTAAATGTTTATTGCATGTTTACTACATGCCATGTACTGTGTTAAGTGCTTAAATTATTTCAACAATCCTGTGAGGTCAGTGTTACGCTCGAGTCTTGCTGAGGCACAGAAATTGTGCAGCACAGAAATTGTTCAATAATGGGCCCAAAGAGAATAGCTGCAAGTGACAGAGCTCAGAATCCAACTCAGGCAGTTCATCTCAGAACCTGCTTTCTTCACCCCTGTGTGGATCTCTAAATTAGAAACAGTAACCAGGACAGGGAAGGGATTCTGTCAGTAGATATAAGTCAAGAGCAAGGGTCATTTTGGAAGTGGGAAGCAGAGGTGAGTATAATTGGGGTGGATGTTAGAGGAAGAAGCTATGGGAGGTCTATTATTGTCAGACCTGAATGAAGAAGAGCCCATCAGCAACTCTCTAGTTAATTCAAAAAGACTTTTAGGGAAGACGGGATTTCAAGAGTTACTTGGAACAGAAGGAAAAAAAGAGAACAGAGTCTAAGAAAACGATAGCTCTTGAGAAAAGGCTCAAGGAAGAAGGTGCTGCCTAGAGGAACTGAAAATGAATGAATGGAGGGAGAAGACTGGAGACCCACGCAGCAGATGAGGGAAATGAGACTCCAGAGCCTGCTGGTGATCGATTCTGATGTGTGGCGTGAACAGCCAGAGTAGATGCAAAAGGAAATGAGAAGCCACTGTAAAGATTTAAAGGATGCAGCCGGCATGGTCAGTCAGGAAGTTCACACGGCCCATTCTAGGAATTTGGAAGAGAAGGCAAGGAAAGGAGAAAGACAAGCCTAGAAGGTGCTGAGTTTAGTGGATTTTATGAAGACTGGTCAATGTCTGTATGTTGAGAGAAAAAAAGTCATCCAGAAATTGTTCTAAATTCAATAAAGTTTTCAGAAAAAAATTGCCAAGGCAGAAAACTTGGTAGTGACTCATTCTAATAGTACAGCTAATTGCTTAGCAATTACTGGCCATGATTATAACAGGGATTGTAGGCTTTTTTTTTTTTTTTTTTTGGAGACGGAGTCTTGCCCTGTTGCCCAGGCTGGAGTGCAATGGTGCGATCTCGGCTCACTGCAACCTCCGCCTCCCAGGTTCAAGCGATTCTCCTGCCTCAGCCTGCCAAGTAGCTGGGATTATAGGTACCTGCCACCACGCCCAGCTAATTTTTCTATTTTTTGTAGAGACAGGGTTTCATCATGCTGGCCAGGCTGGTCTCAAACTCTTCAACTCAGGCGATCTGCCCGCCTCGGCCTCCCAAAGTGCTAGGATTACAGGCATAAGCCACCGCACCCGGCCAATTGTAGGCATTTTTAAACTCTTACTCTGTGAGGATGTATGTCTCAATCCCTTGAAATTTTTATTAGTACTTAGGTGTGCTCTCAGCAAAGTTGTCTACCTATGTCACCAGAATAAAGACAATTTTTCAAAGAAAATTGTTGTGTTTTCTCCTCCATTAAGCCATTGTTATCCTCAGCGAAGATGTATATATGAATAATTTATACTCACCTGGAATGGCTAACATATGAGCATATTGTTCCAAAGATACAGCTAGTTTTCTTAACGGCCAGATCACAGAAATTCCTAACAGCCTTTCTCACTTAAAGGGATAAAATACAAACACTTATTGGGGGAAAACAACTTTAGTAGTTTATTGATTTAGCTTTAGGAGTATTTCACAGCTGACTCCTTTTTAACAGCATACAACCAGGGGCATGTGTCTAATCAATACTGAACATCTATCTTGCAGTTGGGGCTCATGAATTAATCAACATCTACTCAAACTCAAAACCCATCAGGCAAAAATCAACGGTGACCTACATCTCTTCGAACACCACAGAACCACCCAAACAATGTTACTGTTTAAAATGATAACAAACTCAAAACCCTAACTGCACCAAAACTGGTAGTCTCTACTCATGAGTTACTTATGTCTAGGCTATCTCTTTTTTCCAAGGAACTAATAGCAGGCACTAAGGTTCTCATAACATTTCCTACATGGCTATACTAACCTCATCATACATAATGCTACAAAAGTTTAGAGAGGGCAGGAGACTACCTCAAGGACATGCAGCAACCTAGGGGGTTGTGGGGAATCTGGCTCTCTCCACTCTATTCAATGGTGGATGATTAGGCCAAGTGACCTGTTTCCTGATCAGCATGTGAAACAACACAGGAAAAAATGGTGTGTATGCAGAAAGTCTTTCCTTGTGAGCTCAAATTGTATAAAGAAGGTTTTATTTCTAATTATGGTCATATAATTACAGACACTTTAAGGAGAAGAGCCTGTTTGTTCTCCCTGGTGTAAGCAACTCACTGATTCAGGCTCTTTTGAAGCCAGCAGCCAAGTGGCAGTGGCACGGATCCAGGAGTTCCTGGAGGAGAACAGATGGACAGCTATCCCAAAAAAGAGCTCCCTGATGTCACCCAGCAATGAGATGTGAGAGCTCATAAATATACCATCCTCATTCAGGTGGTACATGTATAAAATAAAAGGGTTCACAGCGTAAGTCGATATTTTTCTCACTGGGTAGCAGATGATACCATGCTTGGCCCCCCATTCCCTCATTTTCTAATGAGGCCCTCCCAAGACTTCCCATTTAGCAGAAATCTGCTCCATCTAATGATTACTTTTTTAGTTTTCCATTTAGTTTAAGGGAAAATTCCTATTTCATCTATGTTTTCAGAACTTGTTACAAAAATTTTCTGAAAGGTTACTGATCCACCAGGCATGGGGTAAAGGAGTCAAGGCTGCAGAATCTGGAATCAGACTCACTGAGTTTGATTCCTGTCTCTACTTTCCTAGCTCTATCATTTTCTGGTCGTGTGATCTTGGCCAAGTATCTGACTCCTCTAAGTTTTAGTTTCTACATCTGTGAAATGGGGATAACTATAGTTGTTGTGGGAATTACATGAGGTGACATATATAAAGTGCTTAAGACAGTGTACGGTGCATGTTAATTGCTCAAAAGATGTTAGCAGCTATGAGTCGTTACTGTACTTGATGTAGATATTTTGGCCAATCAACATTTTTTGAGCGCCCACTACTTACTTCAACTGGACAAGAGCACAGACTCTCTATCCATTATGCCATAAAAGATTCAAAGAATGAGAATGTGAGACCCAAGCCTTGGAGGGTTTACAAATCACATGGGGAGAGAACACACATATACATTCAAGAACATGCTTTCAGCCGGGCGTGGTGGCTCACGCCTGTAATCCCAGCACTTTGGGAGGCCAACACAGGAGGATTACTTGAGATCGGGAGTTTGAGACCAGCCTGGCCAACATGGCAAAACTCTGTCTCTACTAAAAATACAAAAATTAGCCAGGCGTGGTGGCATGCGCCTGTAATCCCAGCTACTCGGGGAGGCTGAGGTAGAAGAATCGCTTGAACCCAGGAGGCGGAGGTTGCAGTGAGCCAAGCTTGAGCCACTGCACTCCAGCCTGAGCAACAGAATCCCGCAAACACACATTTCTTGCTTTCTTCAATAGTATACTCTATGGAAGGCTGGCAAATCATATTCTAAAAGGCCAGATCTTCCATCCCTTTTAAAAGAAAGGTATGGTAAACAGCTTTAAAAATTAACCATCTCAAGAATTTCATTATTTTCTAATGTAAGTTCACATGGCTAAAGAAATACTTGAACACTTATTATATGAGTGGCAGCATATTTAATACTAAAATTCAGGTTTTTGAAGTTTTATTTCATTAAAGCTATATAGATGGATCAAAAATCATCAATAGAAGGGTAAAAGCTGGGTATAGTCCATCCACAGGGCTTCTCTAAGGAGGTGAGTCTTGAAGGGAATTTTAACACGGAGACTGACAGAGATTTCAGTCAGTTCAGAAACAAACTGCAGAGGAAAAGGCAGTAGACACGGGTGGAAAGGGGAGGGGTGATGGCTGTGATGAAAATACAGGGGACTTGAGCAAAGATTCACCCAGGGACAGGAGAGGAAAGGAGGCCTTTCAGTTGGAGACAAGCCTCAGACAAGGAAAACAAAGCCCTCTTCACTGACCGCCCCTACCAGCCTCACCAGCCCAGAGCTCTTTACTTCCCCACAAAATCCTCAACACTAGTGGCAAATAAGCTATTGTCTAGGGCACCCAGGCACTTCTGCTTCCATCTGTTGAGTTCTGTGCTTAATTGCGCTTGTTCTCAAACCTGTTTGTGTCAGTTATGCCTGTTACTATAATCAAGAACCTTAATTAAATATTGTTATCCAACATCCAATAAGCTATGTGCACAAAAAAAGACTTGCAGTCTCTATGGACACGTAGCTGAATGCTTTTAGATGGATTTGATTAACAGTGAAAAAAACTGTAAAAGGTCGAGGGGGAAATTACAATCTAGAAGAACTCTACATTCAGATTCTTCACAAATGCCTTTAAAGAAACTGAGACTGAAAATTATTGAGAAAAAAGATGGAAACTCCAACCCATGCTCAAAGAAAAGCCTGGAACCTCCATCAAACAAGTGGCAAATACACATACATGATATATTTCAAAAGTTAAAATATTAATAAATATTTAACACATACAGAGAGTGGATGCACATTTTTATTCCCTGCTTTTAACCAACTTTCTTGACTAACCAATCAATTCCTGTCACATCAAATAAAAGAACTAAAATGAAATCATTTTCTTTCATTATTACAAAAAACTACCTGCATACAGGTGGAAAGATTTCTACTCAAATACATACATATTTAAATCTGTACTTACTATGTTTCATTTCAGCTAAGTCTATGTGAGTCAAAATCACAGGTAAGTTAAATACAATTCTTGTTAAATATTTTGCCCACAAAACTCCAATCTGAACACTGAATTTAAACAGATATTTGCATTGGGTACACCCAACTTTAATACGTTGTCTTCATTTTCTCTAGACCAAAATAAATATATCTGGTACAAAAGAGGTCTGGTCTAGATAGGTATTAAGTATTTTCAAAGTATGTTAAAATAATAAAAAAAGAGGCTGGGCACAGTGGCTCACAGCTATAATCCCAACACTCTGGGAGGCCGAAGTGGGTGGATTACCTGAGGCCAGGAGTTCGGGACCAGCCTGACCAACATGGTGAAACCCCATCTCTACTAAAAATACAAAAAAAATTAGCCAGGTATGGCGGCAGGTGCCTGTAATCCCAGCTACTCTGGAGGCTGAGGCAGGAGAATCGCTTGAACCCAGGAGGTAGAGGTTGAGGTGAGCCGAGATTATGCCACTGTACTCCAGCCTGGGCAACAGCTTGAGACTAAGCCTCAAAAAAAAAAAAAAAAGGAAAAATAATATAAGGATAATTTAGTCTGTGAAAAGCAATCATTTTTCAAATAATATAATTTGCCTCTGACTGATTTTAAGACCTAAATAATATTACCATAAAGAATGGTGGCTATCACCTACTTGTGCTCACTTTCCTTGAATGGCTTGAAAACACAAGTAAGAATTAAACCTAGAATGTAGTAATAAATAATTACTTGGTATAAATTCTTTTGAATACACACTGCTTATATATGTGAAACTAGCAGCCCGTTAGAAGCCATATATATTTTCCCATTAATTAACCACAGCAAGTTATTAATCATAATTGCAAACAATTTGCCCAACTGATGGTTCCTTGGTTTTTTTTGACATGACCATTTTACAGATAATTAGACTACAGAACCACTAAATAAGGATTGTGTCTTGGACTATGTCCTGTATATGATGATAAATAATACACTGGTGGCATTCGGTCAATGTATGACTAATACTGCCATTCGTTTATTTTTTAAATACTTTATGTTCACTGAAAAATATTTATCACAAGATTTCACTGTACGCAAGAGCATCTGTAATACAGGGTAGAAACGGAATGTTTTCAAAACAGAGCACCTGGAAACATTAGCCAGAACTCAGGCGGCCAGTATTTTGGGATTTTTTTGGCAGGCACATAAATAAATCAGACATTCTGATTAGAAAATGAAACTCCCAGCTCTAGGTAGAAAAAACTAATTTCATTCAAGATAAATAGTTACTTTCAAATTCATTAAAGAGGAAAAGAATCTTGGTGGAGACAGGCATAAATCCTGGAAGCTATGTCAGATATAAGCAATGAGGCCCAAACCACTACCACGCAGTCTTATGTAGCACTTCCCAGTACAAAGCCCAAAAAGCTTTGCGTACTTTTATCTAATTAATTATAAATCACTAAACAAATCTTGACCATGGTGAGAATGCTACTTGGACAGAAACAGTCTGAACATTTTGAGCTCTAAATTCTACCACATAACCAAAGAGAAAAATATTCAGCAAGAGAAAACAAAGGTTCTTGGCTAAAACCTCAACTCACCATCTTGTACTTATCAAAGTCATTGTAGGCATTATTTCAGGGTTACTTTACTGTTGTCTAAAAACTAAAAAATGTACATGCCTCAGACCAAGGTCAGTGCTCAATAAATACTTGCTGATTTGATGTCTTAATTTTTCAAGAAAAGGGTTATAAAACCTTTAAAGTCTTAAAAACTACGTATAAAAACTAAATATTTCTTTCTCCAAAAAGTTCATATGACAAATGACATAAGTGAGCTAAGAATTTTAAGACACAGACTAAAAACCAGGCCCCCCACCAGTGATTAAGCCAGTGATTCAAATTGTTCTTCCTGATGAAATAGAAAATATTATAAATATTTATTCTGTAGTAGTGGAGTTCACTAAATATTATTTATTTTTCATCTCCCTTCCTGCACTCATCACGCTTATAACTAAAATCACATACTATTACACTTGATTACCACCCAAAATATCTAGCATTCTCTGTTTCACATGCATAAATCTTATCCATCCAATCATACTGCTAGTTTCTTGAGAGAGGGGACTGAATCTTGCACCTTTATACTCTCTTCAGGGCCTTAGTGTACCATCAGGATATAAGAGACTTTCAAAAAATTACTTAGCTATCAAGTAAGTGATAATTTTAACCAGAGAAAGAAAAAGTTAACTCCTGCTTCTGGCACAGTCAAACAATGGATACTTACTTTACTCAAATATCCTAATTTATAGAGTTGGATTAACAATTTCAAGAATTTTGAGCAGAGTAAAAAATGTTATATTACAGCTATACAAAATGAAATTTACTTTTCCCTGAGTTTTGCATTGTAGACTGATTATTATTACCCTTAATGAAATAGAGGATTGACTTAAAATAAATTTTCAAACAATAATATGCCAGGTAGACCATTTCTTTTTCCTGGAGCACTTTTTGTTGATGAGTTCAGATGTCTGACTCATGATCTGGTTTGGCTTACATAAGCCTGTGGAGTATTCTCTTGCGAGTTTAGGGCAGCTCAGAGGGTCTTCTCTATCCAGAAGCACTGGAGAGTCACACATGAGTACTTGGTCTGAATACTTCCTAGGCTGGAGGAGATAGGGTTCAAGGGCAAGGATCACTGAGGAAATTGCCAGTTTCCTGACCCTACTGCAGCGGTGGTGGATGCTTATAAACAAAGGCAACTGGGTAGGAAATACACCATCCATTCCAAGCTAGCATGAGAGAGAAACCTGAGGAAGCGTGAGGGGTGAGGGAGATGGGGTACTGAGATAGCCCAGAGCCCTTTGAGGCTGCCCCATTTCCCACAATCAATAACCTAGCCCTTCACTACTTGCTGAGATTCTGAATCAGAAAGGATTTTAAATTATCTGGCTTTCAAACAGGAGATTTTCAATTTCCCCAACAAGCCTGTCAGAACCAAAAAAAAAAAAAAAAAAAAGGTTTCTTGCAGCAGGCTCTGGTTGGCCAAGCAGAGGCACCTCCTGCTGGGCCGATGGCTCCCCAGTTCAGATCTCCTGATCATTCAGGCTCTCCCGAGAGGTTCTTTATACCCACAGAAACAGTGAGGCCCCAATCTGCAGGGATCTGCTTTAGGCAGTCCCTTGCCAGTCAAAAGATATGACTCCTAATTCATTACTATACTATGGGAGCAAAGGGAGGGGTTTGAAGTAATGCACAGAAGTCTGAATAGGGCCTTTGTCAAGCACCTGTGCTAGGCCAACACACTAACTGATAGAGAACTGTTCATTACATCAACATCTAGGTCAAACCCAGAACAATGACATCCTCAGTGAGATTTTGTGATAATATTTCTGGACTGTGTATTACAAGGAACTATAGTGGTGCAGTAATAATAATGTTGATTGTGATGATCAACATTGTGATGATTCCACTGCCTCCCTTTATTGAATACGCTTAACTCTTACATCATTATTACATTTGATCCTTATGACCCTGTGAGAAAAGGAAGAAAAAACATCCGAAAATGAAGGATTGACACAGAGCTGACTTGATTGGAGGTCACTCCTTCAGCTGTTTCCTGGGAAAGCCAGAATAGGTCTCAAGAGTGTACTGAAGAAGGAACTTATTAAATGGATACATTCACTCATTAACAAAACCTCTGTCCCATGCCTCCACGTGAAGTGGTAGATCAAACTCTAGGGTTTCACAGACGTAATTTGGTCCTTGCCCTTAAAGAAGTTCTGAGATTACATGGAGGGAACAAGGTGGCATTTAGACTGGTCTTAAAGGGTAGGTGTGTCTTGCTAGTAACGACAACTACAACATGCCCAACATGTGCAGAGGCATGGGCCCAAGAAAGGACCTCCGTCAGGTTATTTAAAATGATTCAACACATACATAAAATAAGTGATCTGCATTTTCTCCTGTAGGCAATATGGATACAGTGGTGTTATTTTTGTTGTCGTTGTTGTTTTTTGAGACAGAGTCTCAGTCTGTTGCCCAGGCTGGAGTGCAGTGGTGCAATCTCGACTCACTGCAACCTAGGCCTCCAGGGTTCAAGTGATTATCCTGCCTCAGCCTCCCAAGTAGCTGGGATTACAGGCGTGTGCCACCACACCCAGCTAATTTTTGTATTTTTAGTAGAGACGGGGTTTTGCCATGTTGGCCAAGCTGGTCTTGAACTCCTGACCTCAGGTGATCTGCCCGCCTCGGCTTCCCAAAGTGCTAGGATTATAGGCGTGAGCCACTGTGCCCGGCTGGATACAATGGTGTTTTTATTAAAATAATAACATATCCCATTTTTGACTAGTCTAAAATATCAAGTGTTTAATTTCAAAGTCAAATTCAACAATTATAGAGGATTCACAATACACATATGAGGTCTATGCATTTATGTAGGTAGGGGACAGTCACTGTTCCTGTGCATATTGGCACTGTACTGCGCAGTTATCTGTATCTTGTTTGCTGGGTCCCCTGCCCCCCACCCTGCCATGGGCTGTACGCACATGCGACACAAGCTGCATCTGTTCTGCCGACTGCTCTGGCTCCTGCACACACTCTATTTCAAGCACATAATGAGCACTCAATACATTATTTCAAGGAATGAATGGATGCCTATCAGGCACTGTATTATAAAAGAATTCCCAGTCTAGCAGAATGGAATGATGCCCAAACAATAGTGATAACACTGTTATAAGTGTTATAAGAGTTACTATTAAAGAGCTTTGAAAACACAGATAAAAGAGCAACTAATCCAGTTCAGATATCCTCCTATACATCAACTTGTATAGACAATTTTCACCCCTTAATAATTTGCTTTCACAACAAATACTCATCCAACAGAACCTATGTTTTTCTGTGAAGAAAATCTAAGCAATAAAAAGTGACTCAATTTCCAGGCATAGGTTTTACAAAATGCTTCTGGATTATGGAAAAGAAATGTTCTTATAAAGACAGACTGTAACAAAACTAATCCTAGACCAGCACAGGAAATCATCTTCACTTGTGGGGGGAAAAAGGGGGGTGGGGGTGGGGACTAGAGAGGAGGGAGAAGTATGGAATGATTATCCCACAATAAAAAAAGAAATTGGCCAGGCTCAGTGGCTCACGCCTGTAATCCCAGCACTTTTGGAGGCTGAGGTGGGCGGATCACGTGAGGTCAGGAGTTCAAGACCAGCCTGGCCAACATGGCAAAACCCTGTCTCTACTAAATAATACAAAAATTAGCCAGACGTGGTGAAGAGCACCTGTAATCCCAGCTAATTGGGAGGCTGAGGTAGGGAGAATTGCTTGAACCCGGGAGGCAGAGGTTGCAGTGAGCCGAGATCATGTCACTGCACTCCAGCCTAAGCGAGACTCCTTCTCAAAAAATAAAAAATAAATAAAAGTAAATTTACATTTTGGTTTGGATACAGAGACTAAAAGGTCTCCTCTACCACCCCATAAATTCTAGTATCAGACCTTTAAACTTTCAGATGTTAAGAATTAGTTTATTCCCCAAAGGTTCAATTAGAACACAGCTGAAAAAAAAAAAATTCAGTATAGCAAACTGACTGATTCCATGATCTGATTTCATCACCGAGCAGTAGGAAGCATTTAGCTGGTCTACAGAGAGAGAGGTGTGTGGTTCTCTTGGCTAGAAGGCACAAAATCCAACTTTCTGTTCTTTTGGCAAAAGAAGGAATGTCCAATCAGCATAGTAGGAAGTAAGTAACAGAATTTCTAATTTTACAAAGTTAGTCAATTTCATGGTTAAGAAGTGCTGTTTTGATGGTAACCTTTACATTTTTACAACCCAACTATGAGTATTAAGTAGGGAAGATCCAACTAAGATAGTTATTTCAGGGGTAACGTCCCTTTCTCTCAAAGTTAAAACTCTTAATATAATTCACTTGGCTTGTAACATGGTATTTAGTCATTCTCATTCTTTGAATTGTTGCCTAATGCAAGCTTTCATTTGGATACACCACTCCCGTTGATGTTTATAGGACTGCCTTGCTATTAACCTCTAACCCAATTAGTCACCAAACTGACAGCATGCATTGCTATTTGGAAGCCAACTGCTTATGAAGGAATTTTTTTTTAGAATCTGAACAAAATGAGCCGTATTATGGCCACTTTATTTATAGTTTTTAACGAAGTATTCCAGGATATCTACAGTGACAAACTCAGGGTAAAAGCAAATCAGGTCCTTTGTGTGCACTGGGCCAGGGAGTGAGGGCTATTTTAAATAAAAATATGTTTTAAAAATTTAAAGGTGTAATCCACCTTCTACCATGGCCATCTCTCCCCTTTACTTCTGTTACCTCTGTTTATCTCAGTGATAGATAACTCCATCCTTCCAGTTATTCAGGCCAATAACCTTGAAGTCTTCTCTTTTTCTAACACTCTGCATCAAGTTCATCAACAAATTCTGCGGGCTCTACTTCAAAATACATCCAGAATCTGTCCTCTTCTCACACTCTCCACCATTACCACTGGCCTAAACCATCATATCTCTTGCTTGTTTTGTGGCAATACCCTCCCAGCTGCCACCTTGGTGCCGCCTACAGCTTATTCTCAACACAGCAGCAGGAAACAGCTTGTTAAAACGTTAAGTCAAATCATGTGCCTCCTCTGTTCAAAACCCTGCAAAGGCATCCATCACTCTCAGCAAAGCCAGAGGCCTGACCTGTGCTGAGACCTTCCTCCCATCTGCTCTCACCTCTTACTACTTGACGACTCTCCCCTCTCTCTCCACGCCAGCCACACTGGCCTCTTATCTGTTTCTCAGACATGTCAAGGGCTCTTTGCACTTGCTGTTCCCTCCATCTAGAACACTCCTTCTCCATGCCTGGAATGCTCCCTCACTTCCCTCAGAAGTCAAGTTAAATGTCACTTTCTTAGAGAGGTCTTTCCTCATCAAACTATTTAAAAAAGCAATGCCTCCCCATCCCATCACTCCTTAATTCCCTTACTCTGCTTTATTTTTCTCCATAGCATTTCTCACAGCTGACATGCTATATACTCACTTACATTATTTGTCTCTTCCCATTAGGATGTAAATGAATTTCATGAGGGCAGAGACTTGTCTGTTTTGCTCCCTGCTGTGTCCCCAGTGCCTACAACAGTGCCTGACATACACCAGGTGCTCAAGAAATAGTGGCTGAATTAATGAATAAATAAATGAATGAATACTAGACTTCCTCCCTTCTACTTCTCCTACTCCTTTTCTATACTACTTCTAATAATAGAATTGTTTGCCCATGACTCATTGATAAAGTTGTCTTGCATTTACTTCTCTAAGATCTATTTCAAACTAACTTATCCTGAGCCCACACCCAATAAATAAACAAGAACTTAAGAAACCAGCTTACTTACCTTCTAACTAAACATTAGGTGCTTGAATCTTTCCAATAACCTCTACCTGTTTCTAAGGGCCTATAATTTCTTCTGCCACAGTGTATAATTCAGCCAGTGTTTCTCAATCCTCAGGCATTCCCAGACCATCCACGGCAATTTTGCTTCATCTGTGTATCACCTGTGCTATTATTTTCTTAACAAGTTTTAAACCTGGCTCACTTTTATTCTTTAAAAAAAAATATGACTACAGAAATGAAGTGTTTGTTCATGAACCACCACTGGAGGTTACATATACCAAACTCTGGATTCACTTGAGCCAAAAAGTTTACCATGGGGCCTGTAATACCTTTAGGATGTAAAACAAACACACATACATACACACACATCCTTTTGCTTAACGCTATGTAAGTTAAAAACTGAAGTCACATTAGAATCAGATCATCTATGGACTCAAAATATATCATGAAGAAATGTCTAAATTCCTAGTCAGATTAATTCAGGCCATCAACACTAAGTTCCTAAAGAAAAAACCTGCCCAATTATCTGCTGGGTCCTTTGTAAAATATTACCTGCTAAAATGCTCTGGTAAAGAGCACACTGGTATGCTTTTCTAGAAAAGTTCTTTTTTTCTGATCACTATTCCATCTACCTAGCCATCTTTCTTCTTTTTTTCCTTTCTTTTAGGAGAGGATTGGTTGGGATGAAGGGCTCCTGGAGGGCACTTCCTAAATTTGACAGGTTTCTTTATAACAGCAATTTTGCAGTTGTTTTCTAGAGCTTTATCAAATTTGACTTCTAAAGCTCACTTTTCTACTTTAGAGAATGATATTAAGAATCCCTGATTAAGGACAATAATCTTCACAAACTAAAAAGCCATCCTTATATTCAAACATGCTTTAAAATGTGAGCAGTATTCTAAACTTGCTGCAGACAACCCATACAATCACATGAGTTATTTTAAGAAAAAGACTCAGTTAGACACATCTACAGAAGCTAATACTAACGTGCTGTTCTTCCAATGAAAAGGTTACTGACCTATCAGTAGGAGTTGTCTTTTCTGGCAGAGATGACAGATTTGCCTTGTCTTATCTCCACCCCCTGCTGTGTCCCCATAATGAGCCATAGCTACATGTGCAAGACAGCTGGCAAGGGGGAGTCAGGGTCTGTGGCCATGGGCCAGAGCAAAGCTTACCAGTCAACCCAGAGCCTGGACCTATGACCGATGTCTCATTAACACCTTGCTCTAAGCAACTGAGCTGTCACAAAAATCAACAGTGGCTTAAGCATTTTGTTTACAAGTGAAACAAATCAGGTCAATCTGACAACCAATAGTTCAAGCAGCCACTAGAAAATTGCCAAAAGGACACAAAAACCAATAGTAAGCAGGAGTGATAAGGGTCTTGCAGTCCTAGCTTGGGAGGTAGCCACACAAGCAAGGATGAGTATGGAAGGGAATGAGACTGTAATAGGCAGGTCTGTTTCTAACATACCAGGCAGTCAATGCATGTTAATTAAAGATAAAAAGAAGAAAGGTATAGCTACAACCCCCTTAGTGATGTCCTTCTTACTCAGTGGTTAGAACAAATGCCTTGATAGATGCCCAAAAAACAGCAAGGGACAGTTCACACTCAGGAGCTACAAGTTTAAAAACATCTATACTTTAAAAATATTTAGAGGCCAGGCACGGTGGCTCATGCCTATAATCCCAGCACTTTGGGAGTTCAAGGCAGGCGGATCACCTGAGGTCAGGAGTTCCAGACCGGCCTGGCCAACATGATAAAATCTTGTCTCTACTAAAAATACAAAATTAGCTGGGCGTGGTGGCAGGCATCTGTAATCCCAGCTACTCAGGAGGATGAGGCAGGAGAATCACTTGAAGCCAGGAGGTGGAGGTTGCAGTGAGGCAAGATCTCGCCATTTAACTCCAGCCTGGGCAACAAGGGCAAAACTCCATCTCAAAAAAAAAAAAAAAAAAAAAAATTTAGACTACAGTGACCCATACACATTAGGAAACCATTTGATCTTAAACCAAAATAAAGGAAAAAATCCACAACAAATCAAGCTCAAAAGAAATAATTATAAACATATTTTCATCACCAAAATTTTGGATTTATGAGCAAGCCAAATAATCTTTCCTTTTAGAGTACACACAAATTAATATGAAGAAAAGCTCCCTGGGCACCATTTTATGCCCAGGGTTTCAGTGGTTAGTCTAATTGGGGCCATCCCACCTTGGGATGGAACAGCAGAGAAGAAAAGAAAAATGGACACAGCCACTATTAAATTATAACAAGTTTCTTTGTTGGGGTATAAAAGCAGTCTTACGAACGAAAAGGAGAAATCACCAGAGTTTGGAGAATTGCCCCTTGATCAGTCAACTGGCCAAGAGAACCAATTATCCACCTATCATTGTATTAAATGCTATATGAGAAGGGTAAAGAAATAGCAGACAGGGACCTTATCCACAAAGTTTATGATCTGGTTGAAAACGTATTATTAGCAAATGTTAAAAAAAAAATCAAACTAAAAATACTCAGCTGTCATGTTTAGGCAATAAATGCTGGAGGCACTCTTCTAATGAGGACAGAATAGGTAATTCAAAGAGCTAACAACATAGGGTTGAATTTTCGGTCAAAAATTGGTGAGGACAGGAAGTCCAAGAGGTAAACCCAACACTCAGAGCCACTTTTATCATGGGGTTATATTTACCAATCCAGGAAATAAAGCTGATGTGAAATTCTGGTGACATCTGGAGCCTAAGCAGGTGGGGTCTCAAGGATACCAACCCCTATTGTAAATGGGGCTTCAAAGAGGGAAAGTGAACTGTAAGTAACCAGCCTGCACACAGGTTTGCAGCCCAACTCACAATACCTGAATCATGAACTTGGCTTGAGGAGGCCTTAAACTGTACAACCTAGGCAGAAGGCAGAAGCATATGAAAATTCTCAACCTCAAATTATTTCTATAAATACTTTTTCAAAAACAACATCCAGGATGTAATCAGGCACAGGAAAAAACAAACACCATGAGTCAGAACCAGCAGAAACAAGAAACTACAGAAGAAGACCCACAGGAACTTCAGATATTGAAAATACAGGTAAAGATTTAAAAACAATGACATTAACTATATTCAAAGAGATAAAAACCAAACTAAATGGTTTTAACAGGGAACTATAAACTATAAAAGATGACAAATTTGATAACTAAATAAAAATTCTATAACTAATGACAGATTAGATATAGTTGAAGAGAGAATCAGTAAACTGAGTACAGCTCAGAAAAAGAAGAAAAACACAAAAGAGGGTAAAGGCATAGAGCATACAGTGAGAAATTTTAACATATGTTTAATTGGAGACTGAAAATGAGATTAAAAGAGGATGAAGCAGGCTGGGTATGGTGGCTCATGCCTGTTAATCCCAGCACTTTGGGAGGCCTAGGTGGGCGGATCGCCTGAGATCAGGAGTTCAAGACCAGCCTGGCCAACATGATGAAATCCCATCTCTACTAAAAAAATTTAAAAATTAGCAGGGCGTGGTGGAGCACACCTGTAATCCCAGCTGCTCGGGAGGCTGAGGTGGGAGGATAGCTTGAACCCAGGAGGCAGAGGTTGCAGTGGAGCCATGATCACGCCACTGCACTCCAGCCTGGATGACAGAGCAAGACTTCATCTCAAAAAAACAAACAAAAAAAGAGGATGAAGCACAAACAGTATGTGAAGAAATAATGGCTGCGAATTTTCCTGAACTAAAATACCAATCCTCAGATACCTAGCAGAATAAATAAAAATAAATCTGTATCTTGATATATTGTACAAAAACTTCAAAAATAAGAACCAGAGGAAAAAAATATATATATATAGATAGATAGATATGGAGTTTTGCTCTTTTGCCCAGGCTGGAGTGAAGTGGTGCGATCTTGGCTCACTGCAACCTCCATGCCCCAGGTTCAGGTAATTCTCCTGCTTTAGCCTCCCAAGTAGCTGGGATTACAGGCACCTGCCACCACGCCTGGCCCATTTTTTTAATATATTTTTAGTAGAGATGGGGTTTTGCTATGTTGTCCAGGCTGGTCTTGAACTCCTGACCTCTGGTGATCCACCTGCCTCAGCCTCCCAAAGTGCTAGGATTACAAGCGTGAGCCACCATGCACGGCCCAGAGAAAATATTTTTAAAGACAGCCAGGGAAAAGACAATTACCTGAGATTGACAATTGAAGTCAAAAGACAATGAAATAATATCTTCAATGTGTTCTAACTACCTAAGAATAATCTCCAAGAATGCATATGAAATAAACAAAAATTACTCATGCCAGCAAACCTCTACTCAATGAAATTCTTTTCTTTTTTGAGATGGAGTTTCACTCTTGTCACCCAGGTTGGAGTGCAACAGCACAATCTCAGCTCACTGCAACCTCTGCCTCCCGGGTTCAAGCAATTTTCCTGCCTCAGCCTCCCAAGTAGCTGGGATTACAAGGGCCCACCACCACACCTGGCTAATTTTTGTATTTTTTGAAAAGACAAGGTTTCACCATGTTGGGCCAGGCTGGTCCTGAACTCCTGACCTTAGGTTATCCGCCTGCCTTGGTCTCCCAAAGTGCTGTGATTACAGGCATGAGCCACCGTGCCCAGCCTGAAATTCTTTTACTCCTTCAAGACCCAGTCATATATCTATTCATTTTTTAAAAATCTGCTGAGCATCTAGATAACATGCTAGGCAGTTAACATTTGACTTGTTGACTGAACTACCATGTTAGTTCAAACATATTGCAACTAGGACCACTAGAATATATTAGAACAAGAGCAGGAGTTTTTCTCTTTTCTTTGCTGCTATATCTCTCTCACCTCAAACAGTGCCTGCCATATAATAGGTGCCCAATAGGCATTACAGAATAAATTCATATTCTTTATTAACAGAATTTAAATGCTATTAGATGCTATTGCAACAGCTAAGCATAATTATTTGTTCTCTTTTTCTTTCCAAAAGTACAGTAACAATCTTAATGTTGTGCAGTTTAAAACTAGAAACACTGATTACAATTAAATGCTCATTAAGTATGAATAATGAGATTTAAAAAAAATTTAAGCCAAAACTTACCCTACAAATATGAGGATATATTTATTAATAAAAAGTAATGAAAAAAGGTAGCTTTGTAACTACTCTTCTAGTTTCATGCCTCACTGTGTTCTTCACATACCCTATGCTCCATTCCTATCAAGTGATTTGCCAGTCTGCAAACAAGCCAGTCTTTCACACTTTCATGCCAAATGCCCCTGCCTGTCCATGATGAACTCCTCTTCCACTCCATTTCTCCACAAGGAAAAGTTTCCCCATTCTTTAAGACCCAGATCAATGTCATTTCTTCTGAAAATGCTGCCTCAACACTGTTATTCAGTGAGTCAGCAACTCTCTCTTCTCTAGGGAGATAGTACAAAGGCCTTTTAAAGGCACTACATTGTTTTAGCATTACTTGTCTATGTGTTGGCTCACCTCATTAGGTAAGGGCCATGTCTCATCCATTCATTTATCTCCCTTCCCTCAAGCACCAATCTCAGTGACTGGTATATACTAAGCATCCAACTAAAACTGTTTGCTGAAGTCATGAAAGACAAAGAAAGGATTAGAATCTTTAATAGATTGCAGGAAATAAAGGAGAAACAACAACTGAAGGTAATGTGGGATCCTGGATGGGATCCTGGAACAGAGAAAAATACAGGAGGTGAAAAACCGGTGAAAGTCAAAAAGGGCCACAGTTTAGTTAATGGTATTATACCAGTGAATTTCCTGATAATTTTTTTATAACTGTGCTATGGTTATATAAGTGGTTATCAGGGAAACTGCATAAGGTTATATATAATTAACTCTACCCTATTTTGACAACTTTCCTATAAATCTAAAATTATTTCAAAATAATTTTTAAAGTGCTTGGCTGACTTGAATTATTGTGTCAAATTGTAGAAACATAACAAAGAAGTGTTCAGGTTTTTTGAGACAGGGTCTCGGCCTGTCACCCAGGCCAAAGGGCAGTGGTGTGATCTCAGTTCACTGCAGCCTCCACTTCCCAGGCTCAAGCAATCCTCCCACCTCAGCCTCCCGAGTACCTGGGACTGCAGGTGTGCACCACCACACTTGGGTCACTTTTGTATTTTTTTGTAGAGACAGGGTTTTGCCACATTTTGCCCAGGCTGTTCTCAAACTCCTGAGCTCAAGACATCCACCCGCCTGGGCCTCCCAAAGAGCTGGGATGACAGGCATGAGCCACCGTGCCAGGCCAGTGTTTAGTTTTTATACAAAGTTCCCAGATATATAAGGTAAATAAATAATTGGAGGGATTAAAGGAACCACTGCCATATCTACACTATCTGAATTTTTTTAACCAAGAATGAATTTATGTATGCACCCATCAAGTATAATTAAGAAGAATGCCCACCAAATCAATTGTGTGAGAAGTACAAAGCAAATTTAATATACCTACAAATATGTCTATGGCCCGTACAGTCAATAGCAATACACAACTCTCAACCACCACCATAAGCATTCTCTGGGTAATATAAAACCAGTTGATACACAGAAGAATATGTAAATCATAATACATGAAATTCAATACCACTGGGCAGATATTTCATTCTGACACATCACTGCACATGAAACTAAGCTCTACAGAAGGCACTGTATTATGCTACAGAATATAAAAATATGTCCCTGATAAAACTGTTGAGATTGTAAAAATACAAATATGGGATGAGGTCAGTTTACAACTATGAATTATCAAATAAAGCACAATTCAATAAAACATTTGGAACTATAGATGTAAGTGAAAGTAAAAACAAGACAAGCTATCATTAAGGCATTATGATGTCTCACAGGGTCACTATAATAGCACATGAGTATAAAAATTATAGATTTTATTTATTTATTTTTTATTTTCTTCAAGATAGAGTCTTGCTCTATCGCCCAGGCTGGAGTGCAGTGTCACAATCTCAGCTCACTGCAACCTCCGCCTCCGGGTTCAAGCAATTCTCCTGCCTCAGCCTCCTGAGTAGCTGGGATTGCAGGTGCACACCACCACGACCGGCTAATTTTTGTATTATTAGTAGAGGCGGGGTTTCTCTGTTGGCCAGGCTATTCTCAAACTCCTGACCTTGTGATCCACCTGCCTTGGCCTCCCAAAGAGCTGGGATTATAGGTATGAGCCACCACGCCCAGCCAAAATTATAGATTTTTAAATACCACCATCACAAGCAACATAACTGAATTTTAAATCATCTCCAGGGCATCAATAACAGTGGCAATGAGCAGCAATATGGGAGCTGTGGATTTCAACTGGTCCACCAGCACATGCAACCTTTTGAAATTGTTTTAATTTAAGACAAAGGTAACTAGATACTTCTTTATCTGAAAGACGGATGATGAAGGATGGAAGCACTCTTTCATTCTAGAAATATTAACTGCAATTTAACATGCACCAGGCACTGTGGTAGTGTTGGGGATACAGAGAGATACAGTTCCTGCCTTACTGGGGTTTACAATGAGACAATACTAATAAATGTGATGTCATTATGTCAATGAAAAACAGAATGCAAAGGAAGCTCAGAACCTAGTCAGAAAGTCCTCCCAGATGCAAGTGACATTTCACTGGGATCTAAAGGATGAGTGAGCGTTAGCTAGACAAAGGGAGCAGAGGTATGGCAGGGGTTCTGGACAGATGAGGCACCTTCTGTGATGGAAGATCTACAAGTGCATGGAACATGGCATATTCAAGGAAGTGAGAAAAATTCAGAATGCTGGATGTGCAATGGGGTGAAGAGAGTATGCATTTATCAGCCTATGGAATGATTCTTAAAACCACAGAGAAACTTACACGGATACATTAGACAACTGATTCTTATAAGCTGCATATAGTAATAATGTATCATTATGATTATCATCACTATGAAGAAACATATATTTTTGCCAAAGTAAGAGCATGTTTTAATAAATTTTTTTTTTAAAGGAAACAAGGTTTTGCTCCATTGCCCAAGCTAAAGTGCAGTGGCTCAATCATAGCTCACTACAACCTTGAATCCCTGAGCTCCAGCAATCCTCCTGCCTCAGCATCCCGAGTAGCTGGGACTACAAGTGTGGGCCACCAAGCCTGGCTATTTTTATTTTTTTATTTTTTATTTTAAAGAGATGGAGTGCCTGTGTTGCCCAGACTGGTCTCAAACTCCTGGCCTCCAGTGATCCTCCCACCCCAGCCTCCCAAAGTGCTAGGATCACAGGCATGAAGCCACCGCACCCAGCCAAAAAGCTGGGATTTTTAAAGATATTTTCTTTGCTTTTAAAAGAACACTATAAACTAGTCTTCGAAAACAAAGTAGAATGTGTCAACAGAAAAAAATATCAATTTGCACTGAGGGGAAACTGGAATCATATCCTAACTATGCAGCCCTTTTAAATTGTTGAATTCAAAAAACGATGGCTCATTATTAGAGAAATTCCTAATTTCTTGAGCCAGTTGCTTGAAAAAGTTGCCAATTTTGGCTGACGTCCCTCACTCACAAGATCCTAAAAGTTTCCAGAAGAAATAAAATTGCTTTAACCTTTGTAGTAAATAAGAATTAAATGTGATAAACATCGAATTAACTAAATCCACATTAGTTATAAGCATCTAATATTGAAAAAATTATGTTGAAAGCTACCCACATAACAATTCTTCAGTTAAAAAAGAATTAATTTAAATAATAAGATGGAATTTGATTTCTCATATTTTGTGAGAACAGCATTTGTTTTCTGTCACAGGACTTAAAATTTCTAGATTAAATAATTACACTTTGAAACAGAAAAGCACAATGATACACTGTGTGAACAAAATGCTATGGACTTACTAAATAAGTAATACTTTTTTTTTTTTTCTTTTTTTTGTGGGAGACAGAGTCTCGCTCTGTCACCCAGGCTGGAGTGCACTGGCGTGATCTCAGCCCACTGCAATGTCTGCCTCCTGGGTTCAAGCAATTCTCCTACCTCAGCCTCCCAAGTAGCTGGGACTACAGGTGCCCGCCACCACGCCCGGCTAATTTTTTGTATTTTAGTAGAGACAGGGTTTCACCATGTTGCCCAGGCTGGTCTCAAACTCCTGAGCTCAGGCAATCCGCCTGCCTCACCCTCCCAAAGTGCTAGGATTACAGGCATGAGCCACCACTCCCAGCCAGTAATACTTAAGGCTCATGCTAGGCTTGAAAACAGGTCTACTATACTGGCACAGAGAAATAGGTAAGCATGAGACCCCGGCACTGGGCACAGCTCTCTGCTGGGGAAACCCTGGGAGATGGCTCCCCTGCAGGGCGGTTTACTCCTGGCCTCCAGAAGCTTATCTGTTAGTGGACCGTGGGCACACAAGTTTTCTTTCCCCTTTGTGTATTCACCCTCAAAAGGGCAAATTTCTACACTATAAGTTGTTGCTGGACTAACATCGAATAATAAAGTACTTCTTTAGCAAGATTCAAGTTGAATTCAATCCTTGTGAATTCTAGAAGCAATTAACATTATGAGAATACAGTAGTCCCCCTTTATGTGAAGTTTCACTTTCTGTGGTTTGTTATCCACAGTCAACGGCAGCTCAAAAATGGGTGAACACACAGCACAACAGGATATTTTGAGAGAGAGAGAAAACAAATTCACATAACTTTTAATAGAACATATAGTTATAACTGTTCTATTCTTACTTATTTTTGTTAATTTCTTCCTGTGCCTAATTTATAAATTAAACTTTATCACAGGTATGTATTACATACAGGGGAAAAACATAATATATAGAGACTTCAGTACTATCAGTGGTTTCAGACATCCACTGGAGATCTTGGAGGTGGATAAGGGGGGACCATGGTGTTTCAAAATCTTGTTTGGAGTTTACAAAGGGAATGCTTAATTTCTGATTTATCTAACAAAAGATACCTGTAGACTTACCTGTCATACAAAATAACCACACTGAATAATAGCTTGTCATAGCAAATCTTCCCCTCCAACTACTCATACCCCTTTCTCTCTCTTCAAGTCCTAAATTCAAGTAATACTTCACTTGACACTTATTTATCTCCAGGATTATCATATAACTACCATTGACAGTTAGATCCACTTTTTTGCAATTGACTGAACAACCCAATCAATAGCAACAAGGACACTCTGCTTTCACAAGATGACAGCTGCTCCAGCTGCTGGCTCCCTGGGGCTGATGTTGGGGAATCAGGCCAGCACAACATGACACATTCACAGGGACACGGACACCAGGTACAACACTACATCTACATGGGTCATTAGCTTGACTATAGTTAGGCAATGCCACGAAATAAGAAATGAAGAAAAGTGTCCCAATTTGTATAAAATATAGGACTATGTATTATATCCTCCTTTGTATTTGTGATTTTGAAAGCCTAAAAACTGAATATGGCTGCTCATATTATAAACTGTATTCACAGCTGTTATAACTGATGTTAAAGAAAGAGGGAGGGATAGGAGAAAGCAAAATGCTCACATAATAAATAAGCTTTCTACAATACAGACAGAGAGCTAAATACAAGAGACATGGATGAACTTTGGCTAACAATATAGGAAGTTATATATATGAATGACTGCTTGATAGAAAATCTACTGGAAAGCTGGAATTCCTCCTCCAGCCCTACCCTTCAACCTTCATCTATCTTTCTATCTATCTATCTATCTATCTATCTATCTATCTATCCATCCATCCATTTAATCTATCCATCCATCCTTCAACCTTCATCTATCTGTCTATCCATACATACATACATACATACATACATGAGACAATCAATTAACATTCCCAAACAACCTAGAAATTAGGATATTTGCAGACTGAACTTGATAGGAGTTGAAGAAATGTTTAGGAGGAAGCCAGTCTAAAAGTCCTTTGTAATATTAAAAAAAAAATTGAGCATAATTTTTGAAAAGCACAGCATCTGCTTTTAAATTAATCATAAACACTTATTGCACCTGGCTGTGATAACTCACACCTATAATCCTAACACTTTAGGAGGCCAAGGTGGGAAGATCCCTTGAGCCCAGGAGGTCAAAACCAGTCTGGACAATATAGTAAAACTCTGTCTCTACAAAAAAATTAAAAATTAGGTGGGCATGGTGGCATACGCATGTAGTCCTAGCTACTCAGAAAGCTGAGGTGGGAAGATTGTTTGAGTCCAGGATCATGCCACTGCTCTCCAGCCTGAGCAACAGAGCAAGACCCTGTTTCTTAAAAAATAATAATAACAAAAATAAATAAAAATAAATTTAAAAATGAAACAGTACATTTTCCCCCATGTTATAAACACAATACACTAACATTCTAGAAAATGTATCAAAATATTTTTCAGGAAAAGTTAACTTGACATAGATATAAAAATCTCAAATATTACAAAGTATTAATTTTTAAAATCATGATGAGAAGAAAGACAGGGGAGGCATCAAAAGAAACCAACAACATGCTTTCAATAAACATGGCATGGAATTGTAAAAACAGAAAGTAGACTAAAGGCTGGGCACAGTGGCTCACACCTGTAATCCCAGCACTTTGGGAGGCTGAAGCAGGCGGATCACTTGAGGTCAGGAGTTTGAGACCAGCCTGGCCAACATGGTGAAACCCTGTCTCTACTAAAAATACAAAAAATTAGCCAGGCATGGTGGTGGGCAACTATAATCCCAGCTACTCAGGAAGCTGAGGCAGGAGAATCGTTTGAACCTGGAGGAGGTTGCAGTGAGTTGAGACTGCGCCACTGCACTCCAGCCTGGGCTACAGAGCAATACTTAGTCTCAAAAAAAAAAAAAAAAGAAAAAGAAAGTAGACTAAGGTTTAAAGTGAGTGAAGACAGCTGAAAACTATGTTCAATAAATTTTTTAAAGCATGTTTACACACACAGAATCACATGCATATATATGCTGTCATCTAGGAGCACAAATCCCAGAGGAATGCAAGCAGTGTTTATGAAATATCCTTATGTGTATCACTCTCCGCTGGACTACCCATAGAAATCAAAGAGAGGCAAAGTTACTTTGAGGATTTTAGAGGAAAGATGTTTCACAAAATACTCAATCTCAAAATACATTTTTTAAAATATATTCTTCCAAGAAGGAAGAAAAATACAGAAGACACTTCTCTATCAAGTATCAAAGAAAAAGATCTTGAAAATGGCAAGGGTAGACTAGATTAGATAAAAATACCTCAAGCCCAAGATCGGGAAAGAAATTTAAGAGAATGCATATAGCTGTTATGTGCTATCTGTATTTACTCCATGCCTTCTTCCATTAAAATGAGTGGTGACATCTGTTTTATACAAGTTCAAGTTTCCAGTACTTGACAAACTTCCTCTCAAACCCAAGAGGAATTACCAGGGAGGTTGCAGATCTGTAGTCCATGATGTTTGAAAAATCAGGGAGAGTGAGAAGGATGCAGATAATGGAATATGGAAAAATATCACCAAAAAAAAAAGAAAAAATGTGAAAGAAGAAAACTCAGGAAATTAAAATCAAGAAAATATTGCAATGACCATCAGCAAAAGGTTTAGAAAAAAAATTAAACATATTATTTGTGGGTGCCCACAGTGAAGTTATCTCTAGAAGCCAAGACAGAGTCCCTAAGCACTAAAACTCAAAAATTAAGCTCATTTCTCCTCCTGATAAGGCTGTTGAAAACTTCAACATAGGAAATGCCACGAGGGGGTATTGGGATTTTGAAAAGGCACAGAAAAAATTCTTTTCATGCCATTATTATTGAGAAAAGAGAAATATTAGTTTAGTTATTTTTTGAGATGGAGTTTCGCTCTTGTTGCCCAGGCTGGAGGGCAATGGCACGATCTTGGCTCACCGCAACCTCCGCCTCCTGGGTTCAAGCGACTCTCCTGCCTTAGCCTCCCAAATAGCTGGGATTACAGGCATGCGCCACCACGCCTGGCTAATATTTTTTTTTTTTTTTTTTTAGTAGAGATGGGGCTTCTCCATGTTGGCCAGGCTGGTCTCAAACTGTCAACCTCAGGTGATCCACCATGCCCAGTAAGAAATATTAGTTTAAAGGCGATTAGGGGAGGTTTTTCCTTTCAATAGACATCCTATTCAATAGATAAATGACCTCAAGAAAGCAGGAAAGATGAAAAAGTGAGAATGTTAGGGAAAAGAAGAGGCAGCTGACCACAAAAATGTACTCACTCCTCCCTTGACATACATGACTGAAATCTAAATGGTTTGGGGTGGGGCATGGAAACTGGGCACTCTGCTTACCCTATAAATACTACAACTGCTCCATAAGATTTCCTTCAGAACTGAGAATGGGTAATGAGTGCTGAGTACTCTATATAGACAAAGAACTTGGGGGAAGAAATTTAGGTCTGCTGTAGAACTTAAGAAGGTCCTAAATTATGTCAAAAACACCTTTTGCCAAAGAACCCCCTTCTCACCCAGAAGGCCAGTATCCATCCAGAACCCAAGAAAGCTAAGGGAAACCAGCGCACAGCTGTGAGGCAGAGAAGGTGAGCCTGGAGCTTATGCACAAAGGAAGATTATCCAGAAAGATGTGGCAGTTCTGTTAATGCAATGCTAACCCAAACTGAGGAGTTCTGCCTGCTATCCAGCCCATAATAAGCTGGACAGGGAACAATTTTTCTGTATACACAAGGGTAAACCCTAAAATAGATATAAGGGAAAAGGCCTTGCCTTACATTATATTTATTTATTTATTTAGAGATGTTGTCTTGCTCTGTCTCCCAGGCTGGAGTACAATGATGCGATCTCAGCTCACTGCAACCTTCACCTCCCAGGTTCAAGCGAGTCTCCTGCCTCAGCCTCCCAAGTAGCTGGGATTACAGGCAAATGCCACCACGCCCAGCTAATTTTTGTATTTTTAGTAGAGATGGGGTTTCGCCATTGTGGCAAGGCTAGTCTCGAACTCCTGACCTAAGGTGATCTGCCCACCTTGGCCTCTCGTGCTGGGATTACAGGTGTGAGCCACCATACACGGCCTTACTTACATTTTAATAAGGCTAAGATGGCCATTTCTAACTATTACTTTTCAGATTTCTCATGTCCCCAGTGGTTACTTTTCCCTCAACCTCTTCACATATAGACTTGTGGATACTCTAATTAAGAAACCTTGGTTCAGAGACCAAAAAGGAGAGAAGCTGCGGAACAATTCACAGTTGATTCAGGGAAAAGGAGTCAAGGCAGCATGTGGGCTTGCAGTAAGCAAGTCTCAGGGGGCTACCAGAGGAAAGATACACATAAAATAATTTTTAAACTATAAAGGAAAAAAAAGGAACGAAGAACTTATATCATGATTTAACTGACAGGAGGTTATCTAAACTACAAAAGTATATGAGCTGGAAAAGCAGAGAATCAGGGGGAATATACTAGGTTGACCCACATAAAATTCCCATTTTTATAGGCTAAAACAATTGAATATCAGTGTCTTAGTTCATTTTCTATTGCTTATAACAGAATGCCTGAAACTAGGCAACTTATAAAGAAAAGGAGTTTATTTCTCTTTCTTTTTTTTTTTTTTTTTTGAGACGGGGTCTGGCTCTGTTGCCCAGGCTGGAGTGCAATTTCGGCTCACTGCAACCTCCGCCTCCCAGGTTCAAGCGATTCTGCATCAGCCTCCCGAGTAGCTGGGACTACAGGCACGCAGCACCATGCCCAGCTAATTTTTGCATTTTCAGTAGAGATGGAGTTTCACCACTTTGGCCAGGATGGTTTCAATCTCTTGACCTCGTGATCTGCCCGCCTCGGCCTCCCAAAGTGCCGCGATTACAGGCATGAGCCACTGTGCCTGGCCAGGAACTTATTTCTTATAGTTATGAAGACTGAGAAGTCCAAGTTCGAGGGGCCTCACATCTGGTGGGACCTTCCCACTGGTGGGGAAGAATCTGCAGAATCTCATGGTAGTGCAGGGCATCACATGGCAAGAAGCTGAATGTGCTGGTTCAGGTCTCTCATACTCTTCTTATAAAGCCACCAGGTCCACTCCCATGATAACCCATCAGTCCATTAATTCATGAATTAACTCATTAATCTAGTAATCCATGAATGGATTAGTCCATTCATGAAGGCAAAGCCCTGGTGATCCAATCACCTCTTAAAGACTCCACCTCTCAATACTGCCACATTGGGGATTACATTTCAATGTAAGTTTTGGAGGGGACAAATATTCAAAACATAACAATCAGTAATTTTATAAGGTTCAAAGGAATAACTATTGCAATGTTTTGCATTGGAAAAGCCATCATGGCTGGGTGCAGTGGCTCACGCCTGTAATCCCAGCACTTTGGGAGGCCAAGACAGATGCATCACCTGAGGTCAAGAGTTTGAGACCAGCCTGGCCAACATTGTGAAACCCTGTCTCTACTAAAAATACAAAAATTAGGCGGGCATAGTGGTGGGCACTTGTAATCCCAGCTACTTGGGAAGCTGAGGTAGGAGAATTGCTTGAACCCAGGAGGCAGAGGAGGTTGCAGTGAGCCGAGACCATGCCATTGCACTCCAGCCTGGGCAACAACAGTGAAACTCTGCCTCAGAAAAAAAGAAAAAGAAAAAGAAAAAGAAAAAAGAAAAGTCACATGAAGCAAATGACTGCACTGAAGAAAAGCCATCACGAAGCAGTGTGACTGCACTGAAGAACACCAGAATGAATGGAGGTTTTGGGCTCAATATGAAGGATGTACTGCTGACAAACAGGACAGCCAAATCAGAAACTGGAGGTGTCCAGAAGGAACACAGTAACACCCTCTCAAGAGATTTCTGTACTGGCTAGTCTCTAAGACCACCCAATGTTCTGAAAAGTTCCAAATGTTCTGAAAGTTCTTGCCCATTATGTCTAAGCAAATCGTGGTGGGTTTGGCTGGTTCTGTTTGTAGTGAGAGCAGACAACTCTCTGTAGTGAAAGGAATGTATCCTGAAAAGAGAATGGAACAAGAGAAATTCAGGAAGGCAAGAAAATAACTATTTCTACCACTTGCAGCCCACCCGCTGCAGAACTTAAATATCCTGCTTTGATCACAGTGGAATCTCAACTGACGTCTGCAGGCTGGAAGAATGAGCCCTACAAACCAGTGACATAAATTTAAAGGAAGGATTGACAGCACTGCTGAAATGCAGTAAAGGGGTCCAGAAAGGAAGCAGTCACTGGCATGTGGGGACTTAAACTGCAAAGCTGTGACCAGGTAGGTGTGGGATGGGCAGTTTGGGACCTCAAGAGCAGAGGGCACTCCAGAGGCGGACGCTCCAGAAAGGCCCAGCAGGAACAGGAGACAATAAATTTAGCCGGAAAGGGGTCTGGGTGTTAAGTCAGAAAAGTGGACTGAAGCCAAGACTGTAAACCATCCCAACTCCCAAGCTCAGGTTTTCACGAAGAAGTCTGCTCACTCTGGTCTCTTAAGCATAGTTTATAGAGGAAACAGAAGACCAAAGTAAGAAAAGTGGTGATTTCAAAGTAGATAAAAGGGTGGAAATGATTATTTTCTTGCCTTCTTGATTTTCTCTTATCCCATATTCTTTTCAGAATATATTCTTTTCACATCTACCATTCTTCTCTACTCTTACTACAGAGAGAACCAACCAAATCCACCAGAATTTGCTTAAACTAAATATGCACATCTTTCAAATGTCCCAATATTTAGGATCCAGACAAAAATATAAAAAGGGAAAAAAAAGATTTTTTTTTTGAGGTGGAGTCCCTATCACCCAGGCTGGAGTGCAGTGGCACGATCTTGGCTCACCACAACCTTTGCCTCCTGAGTTCAAGCAATTATCCTGCCTCAGCCTCCTGAGTAGCTGGGATTACAGGAGTGCACCACCACGTCCAGCTAGTTTTTGTATTTTTAGTGGAGACGGGGTTTTACCATGTTGGTCAGGCTGGTCTCGAACTCCTGACCTCAGGTGATCCACCTGCCTCGGCCTCCCAAAGTGCTGGGATTTCAGGTGTGAGATACTGTGCCCAGCCAATCCTATGGTTTTCTATTAATCAGTTATTGCTATATTTTTTCCTATTTTTCAGACCAGATTTTGCCATATTTCACTCTTAATGGTGTACAAACCATATTAAAAAGTCTCATCATTTTTATTAAACCAATTTTTCTACATAATCCTCTTTAATGAAAATATACACCTCAGCCGAAATGTGAGAAGGGCAACAACAGCATACACTTTTGAGCCCTTATGTGCAAGACAGTGGCATTGCAAGGCATGGATGGAAGGAGTGGTCCACTCAGAGTGCAGGCAATAGGGAGGGCCTTGTCAGTAGGGAATTTAAAAATAGTAATAAACCGACCAAGAGTCAGTTTGCTTTTTATTATCACCCTACACCGGCAATTCCAGACAATTCTAACTCCTGCCTGCTGGGGCTGACAGCTCCCATCACAGCCCTCTTCTCCTTAATCCACCGCTAGTGCCCAACAACGTATTAAATGCTTTACAGAGACTCTCTTTTAACCCTCATTTTACAGACAAGAAAACAGAGTCTGGCAGACTGAGTTAAATGGGGGAATGAGGATTTACCCTAGGCAGCCCAATTCCCAAGCCCACCTGTTTAACCTGCAGGCCACCACCACTCAGGGAAAAGGAGCAAAAGGCAGCAGAAGCCCAGGGTTGGGTTCAGCTGAGAGGCAACAGCTGAATTTGGATGTCATCGTCTATTAGCCTACCGCCTACCTTTTCCATCAGTCAATCAACAACTGCCTGGAGCTCAGAGAACACTTTCTACTTATTAATTTATTGCCCATTTCTTGACGGTTTCCCTAGAGAGCAGGCAGGTTAACTCTGCCACACACCTAGTCGCTGTGGCCTGAGGCAATGATCTCTCACAACTGACAGGCAATGGCAAAAAACTACCTCATGAAAATATTTTGGACTCCTTGGTGTTCACTTTAATGGGCAAGGACATCTGTGTTTTTTTGTACTGTCAAATTCCCATAATAGAAAAATTTTTAATTGCTTCACTTTTAGACTATCTATGCCTTTTACTGGACATCATCATATTGAGAGAAGGCAGGATATAAATAAGAAATAAAAACCCTTCTTCACTAGCTAATAATTTAACTGTGCAAATAACTCATTTTGTCTCCCCAGTTTCTACATCTAGTAAGTGTAATTTTAAGTTACGTCTTCAAAATTCTAGTGAAGGTAGAAGTTCTCTAACAATCTAAACTCCTTAGACCATCAAACTACAAATAGAGGCCACTGCTGTGAAGACTTCTGAAACTAAGATGAAGAAATTCCTCCTCATCCCATTCCCCAGTTACTAAAGGGGGGAGGATCACAGAAATAAAGGTGTGATTAAGTTCACAAATTTAAATTTTAAAAATCAATACATACTGAATGTGAGAAGAACTATGTAGTCACTTCAGAGATGTGAAATATCCAACCAAGCCTGGACTCCCAAAGACTGGATATATTAACACAGCTAAAGAAAGGAGGTGTCAAACAGAAAGCTGGCCAGTCATCAAGGGATGCTGAGGGGAAAGCAAGTGTGGGAGCAGAATTTTACAATGCCCTCAAGATTTGGGCCCCTGTACAATCTCTCCCTATGAGCATACACAGGGCTAGGCTTTTAAAGGGGGTCAGAGATTGTAAAGACCAAAAGTGTGTGGGAGATTTTCCAGCTGACCTTGAAGAAGCAAAATGCTACATTGTAGAGAGGGCCATGTGGCAGGGCAGCCTCTGGGAGAAGAGGACCTCAGTCTTACAACCATAAGGCACTGAATTCCACCAACAACCAGTGAGCTTATGAGACCACATCCCTGCTGACATTTTGATTTCAGCCTGGTGAGTCCTTGAGCAGGGGACCCAGTTACCTGTGCCTGGACTCATAGAAACTGTGAGATAATATACTTTCATTGTTTTAAGCTGCTAACTTGTGGTTATGTGTTACACTGTAATTGAAAACTAATACAGTGAGTCTCCAGAGAAGCTGGCAGTACCCATCTAAACATTGTCCAGACATAGAGAAGGCCATCCTTGTTGTGAGACAGGTGTTTGATGCCATGGAAACTGTGCTCATCTAACTCATGGTTTGGATGCCATGCTCACTAATACACACCTGGCCTCCTACACAGGTCTGCCTTAAGGGAGATAATGTACTGACCATCCACATGGAGTATCTCAGTCCCTGGAACATTTACTTTTCAGGTAAATAAACAAATAAATATGCTGGCCTCCTGATTCCATACACCAGTTTCTTCAGCTAGGCTCCTGTAAGTCTACCCCTGAGAGACAGCTCCACCCTTGATATCCACAGAAAATCAAGTTAAAATCTGACAAAGCTAAGAATTAGCCAGACCCTGGACTATATTAGTCTTACTGCCACAAACAGTGGCTTAAAACAACACCCATTCATGAGCTCACAGCTGAGTGGGTCAGAAATCCAGTCAGGCTCAGCTGGGTTCTCTGCTTAGGGTCTCACAGAGCCAAAATCAAGGTGTCAGCCAGACTCTGCTCTTATCCATGAGCTCTTAGGAAAAATTCACCTCCAAGCTCGTTTAGGTTGTTAGAATAATTCGGTTCCTAGCGGTTGTAGGACTGAGGTCCCTGTTTCTTTGCTGGCTGCCAGCTGGGGACCATGCTCAGTTTCTAGAAGCTACCCACATTGCTTGGCACATGGTCCCTTTCATCTTCGCAGTCAACATCAAATCCTATTCATGCTTCAGATCACTCTTTCTTCCCACCTGCTGGAGAATATGGTTTCTAAGGGGCTTGTGTGATTAGATCAGCCCACCTGGATAGTCTCCCTCTGCCAAGCAAGGTAGTAGAATCATGGGTGATATCTCAAACATGCATAGGTTCCACCTATACTCAAAGGGGAAGATATAATACAAAGGGCAGGGTCACTGGGGGTCTCTCAGGATTCTGCTACCCACACTGGACCATGGCAATCCGACAAGGTAATGAATGCCACCCTGGGAGGGCTCCTAAAAGAGAAGAGCCAGTCAGCTTCCTACAGGAGACCCTTCATATACCACAATACTGCCAAAATCCCTGTTCGTTTAAAAGCAATTAGCATATTTCCCCGTTGTTTTCCAATATTCTTAGTGCTATACATTGTTACTTTTTCCTTCTTCTGAGCTGGAACCTTATGAATGTATTTTGCCCACTCACAGAAATCAAGTTTCATAAAAATTAAGCAGAAACTATAGACCAAATACTGAACATCTACTAAGTATGAGACAATATGTCAAGTACTGTGAAATATGAAAATAATATTAACTCTTCTCAAAGGAGTTGATAAGTAATGCAAGCCAAAGTGAAGATAATATAACATGATTAATGATGCCACACTTAATATTAGTCAAAAGGAAAGAATTAATAAAAGATTCACACCAAATTACCACAGTTTTTAACGTAGGCCTGACAGCCAGAGTATTCCTACAGATGCCACTGGTAACAAGTAGATATGAAGATCTTTAAAATGTTACCACTATGATTCTAAAATTTTGGGATGTTTACTGTGTATATTATGTTTATGTATAAACAAGCAAAAAAAATCAGAGGAAATACACCAAAGTAGTTTAGCTATTTGAATAGTCGGTTTACAGGAGATTTTAACTGTATTTTTATTAGTTTTTTAAATTTTCTCATTTTTCCCCAGTAAGCATATGGTACTCTTAGAACCAGAAAATATATATCTACACGCATTTATATTGGGCAAATCATGGTATTTGCCCCAACTAATCTTTCCTTCAAGCCAAAAACTGTCTTGTCCACAGCTCCCCCTGCTTTGGAAAGCATGGGCAATTTGGATATGGCACAAAAAAGATCAGGAGAGCCATTCAGACCCAGCTAACTGGAACGTGAACAAGGAAACAAACTTGTTGACAGCAAGACTTAGAGCTGAAAGGATACAAGAGAGCTGAAACTACCAAGAGCCCCTGCAAACTGATGGCATGAGAGAACAGAAATGATTAGTAAAGAGGAGCTATGGGCTAGAGAGAAGTACACGAAACAGAGATTGAGGGAGCCAACAGAAGAAAGGAGAGAGCAGACAGGCTATCGTGCAGAGGACGCCCAAGACAGAGACAGAGAAAAGCAGGGACGGATGGGTGGGTGGAGGGATGGGTGGACAGGAGGACAAGGAGAGCCAGAGTGAGTATGCAGTCCTCCTAGCACTTCTTTGATTTCTGACAAGTTTCCAGCTCTCTTTTTAACAAATGATTTTCCATTCCTTTCAACCAAAATGAGCCTAATCAAAATGACATTAAAAACATTACTTCTATATGTCTAAAAATTAAAATAAAAGTTTTTAAAGATCTTCTAAAAGACACTTTCTTAATTTAGATTTGTTTTTACTTCTTCAAATCCCAGTTCCTCCCCACAAACTGATGAGAATCTCTGAATCTCTCCAACCCCAGCACTCACAAACAGAACAATCCCAGTCAGAAGAGGATTTGCCTATTAGCGACACTATCTCCACCAAGACAGCAGCCTTATTAAATTACAACTGTTTGAACAAGGTCAAGCACTCAGAGTTTAATTCAAAGTGTTTCCAGGTATAATGCTGTCAGGTCAACTTAAACAAGCCAACAGAGGCTTGGAGGCTGATTAAATATTAAAACAGAATCTTTCACATCTGTTTTTACCCAAGGATGAAATTACTGTACATCACTTCAATCAGCTCATTAATACACTACACACACATCTTGCCTCAAAGGTTACAGGAATATCAATGCTTCAGAGGCCTGCAGTGAAACCTGCCCACACAGCCAGAAGTGAGGTCACTACATACTTTACAGAACGTCAATATTTCTTTATAAAATGTGAGAGATAATCAGTTAGACATAGACACATTTTAAATTAAAGCATGAAAACCTCCGTGAAGTTAAGCCAGTTGCTTTTGATCTGAACCTTTTCATCATTCATTCAGTTGGCTTTGACAGGTAACTGGATAGCATACGTTGAGCAAAAATTTTGATTCAACGGTAATTATTTTATAAAATGGAGGGTTGTCACATCCAAGTAGAGGGTCATGGTGATCACATTTTTTAACTTATAAAAGCACAAATATAAAATATAAAAGATATTTTAAGTGTAAAAGATATTTAAGATTTTATACTTAAAATATCTTTTATATATATAAACATTTCAAAGGACACACACTTAGGACACTCAAGAATATATACTTTCATGGAGTATTAGGTGAATGAGCAGTTGAGAATTTTCTGCTTTTAAAACTCCTATAACAAGGAATGACACCTGGACAAACAGTCAAGAATCACTTAGAATAGGTCTCTGTTTAACCCCCACTCCCCCAACATTTGCACTCAATGAATAATTCTTACGCTGTTTTGTAGCACTATGTGGTAGGCAGTGATAGCTATTGGCTGGGACTGCTATGCACATTTCCCACCCATGCCTCTTCTTCTGGTATATCACCCCCTTTCATCTGGGAACCTCGCTAGTCCTTGACAGTTGTCAAACACAGTGCCCTCACCCCCTAGCCAGTTGAGTGAGCACACTCTTCAAACCACAGTCCTCATGACCTGGGTGACAGTCTAAAGCATGGGCACATGCCTCCAACAGGCTGCTCCTACACGTGCGCTGGAAAAGAAAAGTCTTTGGGGTTGCCCACCTGGCAGAAGGTATGGGCAGCCATTTTCCCACCCCCAACAAGACAGCCAACAAGCAAAACGCAAAACCTACTCGCAGACAGAGTGAGCAGAGCTCAAGATGTACAAAAACAGCACTGACCACATCCTCTGAGCAACTGGAGCCAACTGGGCCCAATCCACCTCTACTTTCTGTTTTGAACATTAGGTGTCTCTAGCTAAGTCTGATATGAATTAATTAATAATATATTTCAATAAGATATTTTAAATTAGTTCAATATAGACAAGGATGACAAATTTTAAATATTTAACATTTGACTAAAAATAATTGTGTTAGTATCAATGTTACTTGTGAGATGTTTCATTGTGATACTGCCCTAAGGTCACTTAATTAATGTTAACATTATCTGTGTTTAGGTATGTTAGTAATAAAAAAAATCAGAAAAGTTATTCTGACCCAAAGTACAGATAAAATCACACTTTGCTCTAAGAATCCTACTGACCTCTCTTTTTTCTGAAGTTCTACAGAACTTACTTATACACTATAGAACACTTACCTAGAGATTTTAATCTTGCACTGCTTTCTTACTGTTTCATGTGTAATTGATTTAAAGTTTTATTAATTGTTTTGCTATGTTAAAAACAATAAAGTTTGCTTAAATATAAGGTATTTCAAATTAGTTCAATATAGACTAGGATGACAAATTTTAACTATTTAACATTTGACCAAAAATAATGATGTTGGTATCAATGTTATTTGTGAGATCTGTTTCATGGTAATACTGCCCTAAGGTCACTTACTTACTCAGGAGTAGAGGACAAACTTACACCCAAAAAAGGGTGACTATTGAGTAACAAAACCTTCAAAACCCAACTTAAACACTGCAGGCTAAGGAAAAATTATTCAAGAACCATTTGTGAGATGCTGGAGTTTTAAAAATTCATTTAGAGGTCGGGCGCGGTGGCTCATGCCTGTAATCCCAGCACTTTGACAGGCTAAGGTGGGTGGATCACCAGAGGTCAGGAGTTCGAGACCAGCCTGGCCAACGTGGTGAAACCCCATCTCTACTAAAAATATACAAAATTAGCCAGGCATGGTGGCAGGCGCCTGTAATCCCAGCTACTGGGGAGGGTGAGGCAGGAGAATCCCTTGAACCCAAGAGGCAGAAGTTGCATGAGCCGAGATCGCGCCATTGCATTCTAGCCTGACTGACAAGAAAGAAACTCCGTCTCAAATAATAATAATAATAATAATAATAATAATAATAATAATAATTCATTTAGAATTTTAGAAATAGTTGTTTCCATGAGTACATGAAAAACATTTTATTTCTTTGAATTCATTGATACTATTTTTTTTTTTTGAGATGGAGTACTGCTCTGTCACCCAGGCTGGAGTGCAGTGGCGCAATCTCAGCTCACTGCAACCTCCGCCTCTTGGGTTCAAGCAACTTTCTTGCCTCAGCCTCCCAAGTAGCTGAGATTACAGGTGCCTGCCACCATGCTCGGCTATTTTTTTTTTTTTTTGTATTTTTAGTACAGACGGGGGTTTCACCATGTTGGCCAGGCTGGTTTTGAACTCCTGACCTCAAGTGATCCACCCACCTCAGCCTCCCAGAGTGCTAGGATTACAGGAATGAGCCACCGTGCCCAGCCGGTTGATTCTAAATAAAGGAATGATTTGGGAGATGAAACTCAAAGTTTCATTTCCCCTCCCCCAGGATATGATTACATTTGAAACTGAAGGTGACTGTAAGCACAGAACTGTCTTAGCCTTCTTTCTTCTGCTATAGCACAGTAATAGTATTTCAGTAGGAAAACCATGGGACACAGAGCCAGGACACCCAAGTGGAAGTTCTTTCTCTGTCACTGACTGGCCTTGTGAAAATAAAACAGACAGTTCAAAACTTCTTTTGAACCTGTTCTCTTAACTGCATGAGACTAACGCCCACATTATCCACTATATAAGAGGGCAGTGAATAGGAATTTGAGGCTATGGTGAGCAATGATCAGCCACTGCGCTCCAGCCTTGAGCAACAGAGTAAGACCCTATTCCCTTAAAAAAAAAAAATTGTAGAAAGAAGGCAGTGAAGACCCACTGAGACAATGTTAGAAAAAACAAAACCAGTATCATGAGTTTGTGTCATGTGCTATGTGCAAACATGATCTTAGTCATCTTCTAAGGAGAAAACAAAGCTCAAAAAGGCTACTCCTAACTTGTGCAAAGTCATAGCACAGGTAGAAGCAGCAGCTCAGTCCAAAGCCCACATCCTTCCCCTCACCACACTGCCTCCAGTAACTGCAGAACAAGGAAGCTGTACTCCTGGACCCACTGAGGATCCAAATCCTAGGTGCTTTTCCCTTTTTGTACCAATGCCTTTCACGTTTGTTTAAAAAGTAAACATTCTACAATAAACACTTTGTTGCTGTTTTTTTTTTAACTAAAGAAACATATAGATTTATTGTTGACAAAGAAAAATTCCAGCAAACACATATAAGGGCCTATGGTGTTTTGCTGAACAAAATAATTTAAAAGTGTGCTTGTCTGTTATGCTTGCTATGGCTAAAATTCCTAATTTAACATGGCAAAAATAATCTGCAAATGAATTATAGCTAATTGCCTATGGCGTTTTCAAGTTCTAAAGAATGAAACAGCCCCCAAAATTTCAATTTTTAGAGCCATAGATTCCTGTTTATAGATTCCTAGTGTTCATTTACTGAGCGTAAGCAGTTATGAAGACATTTAAATTTTTAATAGGATGTACTTCTTTAAAGAAAAGCTGAAACTTCCTGTTTAGTGATTTAATCATGACACAAGGTGAAAGTATTTAAAAATCAAGTATCTATTGGATGAAGTTCACTGCTAAGACACAGAATAGATGCTGGCCCCATCTTTTATATTCTGTAGGATGCAAACTACATGCCTTGCTAGGGGGTAACATAAAAAAGAAAGTCACCTGGTAGTGGTGACTTACTGAATTTTCTCTGCCCGTAAAGTTTAATGCAGGTAAAATGACTTAATTAACTAATGGGGCTGAGGGATAAGGGTTGTGCCTACCACTGTGGCCCCCACAGTGGAGAGGGCACTTTTGCCACCGCTCTAGGTCCAGCAGTGTGCATTCTTCCCCAGGCAGAAAACAGGTACTCTAGGTGCACAATCAGATTACTTCTGGGACAGACACTTCTTGTCATGTTAGAGTGGGGAGCGGGGGAGAGGAAGAGGTGGTGCACGCCAGGATTTGCGTCTGTGCCAGGGCTTGTTTCAAGGCTGGAGAAGGATGCAGTGAAACCAGAAGAAGGTTAGGCTCAGGATTATAATAAAAACTTTCAAATACTTACAAAAAGGGCTCTCTGAAATCTTAAACCATTAAATTTAAACACTGGCAGTTAATAAAACACAAAGCTATTTGTTTAACAGAAAATAGAATCCCAGTATGGCATAATCTTATACCATACACAAATTCACACTTGAACAATATAATCAAGTAGAGTAAACCATATTAAATGTAAAGTCAATAAATTCTTTCTTTGATTGTTGACCCCACACACACACCAAAGAAAAGACTATAAGGGATTTAACAGAAGGAAATTAATCATCATAATACTTTGGTTCAATGCTGATCTAGGGTGAGATAATTTGGGCATTAGTACAGTTTACGTGAAATAAGATTTAAAGCAGCACATTTAAAACAAGCAGAATTCATTAAACAACCTCTCAAAAGGATCATTTCCTCTAATTATTGCTTTTATAACAGAAGACAAAGGCAACCCAATGTAAGTTCATAAAATCTACAATTAGCTGCCAAAATCTTAGCAGATAAAATTAGAAGAGAAAGCATATTTGGAAGCACAATTGGTAAAAAGTTCTGTTATCTTATTTCTAAAAAGGCATTTGCTCTTTCTTTCTACCCATAATCGTTTAAAGTACACAAATAGGCCGGGTGTTGTGGCTCATGCCTGTAATCCCAGCACTTTGGGAGGCCAAGGCAGGTGGATCACTTGAGGTCAGGAGTTTGAGACCAGCCTGGCCAAAATAGTGAAACCCCATCTCTACTAAAAATACAAAAATTAGCTGGGCGTGGTGGCGTGTCCTGTAGTCCCGGCTACTCAGAGGCTAAGGCAGGAGAATAGCTTGAACCCAGGAGGCGGGGGTTGCAGTGAGCCGAGATCCCGTGCCACTGTACTCCAGCCTGGGTGATGGAGTAAGACCACCATCTCAAAAATAAATAAATAAATAAAAAACTAAAGTACACAAATATTATGGACTAGATATTATGGTAGGCCCATGACAAAGAGGAATAAAAAGGCAAAGCTAAGCTAGGTGATCTAGCAGCATATGGTCCTGGAGAGAGGGGGTTTATAAAAGTCCTCACAATACTTTCAGACAAGTGTGCTAACCTGGGCTGTACCTAAGAGGCTATAGGAGAGAAAAGCAGCTGACTGGCTGACTGGAACATTTTCACATCTGGGCTGAGTCTTTAAAGGAAAAGAAAAAGAAGGAGTCTGAAAAACAAGGTTAAACAAGAGGGAAAGGTACATATCCCATATTTCAGGCAAAAAAAAACAACAACAACAACAACAACAAAAAAGCAGTGTGTGGAATGGTACAGAGCTAGAATATTTTTAGGGAATCTTTGGACATAGGAAGGGGATAAGAGGAAGTCATGCTGGGGAAGGTAAAGCTGGAAAGATTGATAGGAACAAGATTAAGGGCCAGGCATGGTGGCTCATGCCTATAATCCCAGCACTCGAATCCCAAGAGTTCGAGACCAGCCTGGCCAACACGGTGAAACTTCATCTTTATTAAAAATACAAAAATTAGCTAGGCATGGTAGCTCACACCTGTAGTCCCAGCTACGCAGGTGGCTGGGGCACGAGAATCGCTTGAACCCGGGAAGTGAAGGTTGTAGTGAGCTGAGATTGCACCACTGCACTCCAGGCTGCCTGGGCCAGAAAGACTCTGCCTCAAAAAAATAAGGAATAAGATTAAGAAGAAGAGCGTTTTGGTGAAACTATGGAATTAATTCAAGCTTTTTATGCCTTACTCATAGGGCCTATTGGGAAGATATTTAAGACCTGATCAAAATCTGTCATATTATTTCCTAAACTTTTCAGTATTACACAATTAATGTTTTAACCATAATAATAATAATAATAATAATATGATTAAAGGGCAAAGTGAAAAGGCAACTTATGAATGGGAGAAAATATTTTCAACCAAATATCTGATAAGGCATTAATACCCGGAATATATAAATAACTCCTACAAATCAAAAAAACAACAAACTAATGCAATTAAAAAATGGGCAAAGCACTTCAAAAGACATTTCTCCAAAGAAGATATACAAATGGGCAAGAAGCATATAAAAAGATGTTCAACATCACTAATCATTAGAGAAATGCAAATCAAAACCATAATGAAATATCACCTCAGACCCATTAAAATGGCAAAAAAAAAAAAACCAAGTGTTGATAAGGATATGAAGCAATGGTAATCTCTGTGCACTGCTGGTGGGAATGTAAAATGGCGTAGCTGCTATAAAGAACAGTTTGGCGGCTCCTCAAAGAATTAAAAACAGAATGATGATCCAGCAATCCCCTTCTGGGTATATAGCCAAAAGGATCTCAAAGAGATTTTTGCTTACCCATGTTCACTGCAGTAGTGTTCACAGGAGCCGAAAGGTAGAAGTACCCTAAATGTTCACCAACAGACAACTAGATAAAGCAAATGTGGTCTATCCATACAATGGAATATTATTCATCCTTAAAAAGAAGGAAATCTTGTCACATGCTACAACATGGATGAACCTTGAGGACATTAAGCTAAGTGAAATAAACCAGTAAGAAAAAAACAAATACTGCATTATTCCACTGATGTGAGTTATCGAAAGTAATCAAACTCTTAGCAACAAAAAGTAGAATGGTGGTTGGTAGAGGCTGGCAGAAGCAGGGAATCAGGAATTGCTTCCTGGGTACAGAGTTTCGGTTTTACAAGATAAAAAAACTCTAAAGATCTGTTGCACTAACTGTTGCATACAGTTAACACTACCATACTACACACTTAAAAATGGCAAAGATGGTAAATTTAATGTTATGTGGTTTTTTTAAACCATAATCAACAAACAAACCAAAAATAACAACATGGCCGAGCACGGTGGCTCATGCCTATAATCCTAGCACTTGGGGAGGCCGAGGTGGGTGGATCACTTGAGGTCAGGAGTTCGAGACCAGCCTGGTGAACATGGTGAAACCCCGTCTCTACTAAAAGTACGAAAATTAGCTGGGCGTGGTGGCTCATGCCTATAGTTCCAGCTACTTGGGAGGCTGAGGCAGGAGAATGGCTTGAACCCGGCAAGCGAAGTTGCAGCGAGCCGAGATCGTGCCATTGCACTCCAGCCTGGGCGACAGAGGGAGACTCCGTCTCAAGGGAAAAAAGAGAGAAAAATATGATTAAAGGCTGCAAAGTTTCAGGCTAATTCATAAGGGGTCCCTCATGCCAATATGGGGACGTGACCTTTATTATTAGCTGTATGTTACATCAACAAATTTAGTGTTCAAGCTAGTAAAATTTCAAATTTCTCAGCCAACACAGTAATTGCTGGCAAGTTGTATGCTTGAAACCTGCAGAGTATAAATAAGGGAAAGTGTGCTAAATTCTAAAATCCACTCCAGTCTACTGGGGTTGAGATTGTTGATTGATTTTGTCATCATGGAAAGCTATTTCAGGATTTAGTAACATTAAAACCACTAATTTTGGCTGGGCGTGGTGGCTCATGCCTATAATCCCAGCACTTTGGGAGGCTGAGGTGGGCAGATCACCTGAGATCGGGAGTTCAAGACTAGCCTGGCCAATATGGTGAAACCCCATCTCTATTAAAAATACAAAAATTAGCTGGGCGTGGTGGTGCATGCCTGTAATCCCAGCTACTCGGGAGGCTGAGCCAGGAGAATCGCTTGAACCCCAGAGATGGAGGTTGCAGTGAGCTGAGATTGCGTCATCACACTCCAGCCTAGGCAACAAGAACGAAACTCTGTCTTTAAAAAAAAACAAAAAACAAAAAAAAAAACCCACTGATTTCTAGACAGTGTTTTAAAAAGAAAATATTATCTTAAATAAAGCCAAACTTTCAGTTATTAAAAAGTCTATTTAGTCTAAATCCAAATTCATTTTATCCAATGTCAAGCTTTTCCCCTAAGAACAGCAGTGAGGAAAAAGAGAGGGGTCCAAGGAATGAAAGGCGGCAAGTGTGAGGAAAGGGAAAGGTCTGCCCACTTTTCTGTGGTCCAGTCCTGCAGCCTGTAAAATATCTTCCACCATTTGCAGGAGTCCACATGCCAGCTCTCTCTAGTGAGACCCCTTTGCTGGGACCTCCATGCTGCCTGATGCAGGCAACGGGTGCCCTTTGACTCAGCTCTCAGTCTCCTCTCAGCTCCTGCCTCTGTGGTTCACCCACAACCTCTTTCTGCTGCGGGCCTAGCCCTGGCAGGCAGCCTTCGCAGGCAGGACAAGTCTTTCAAAAAGACTCAGGCCAGCTGTCCTCCATGTAGACCACCAGGCCCACAGGAAATGTCAAGCGTTTTTGCTGTCCTCTCTCCATACACTGTCCCCAGGGGCAGCTCCAGCCACATGGGGGGCTTTCAGATGAGAGGAAGATACTTGCCTCTGTATTCACAGACATCCCCAAACTCCAGGAAAGCCACACCACACTCACTCAAGAACGCTTTCTCAGGAGTCCATTCTAATCCCACAGCAGCACCTGGCTGGTACCTCTGTGCAGCTCAATGAGATGTCAATCTACCCTCTTGAATTCAACCGTAATCTCTGAGTTATTCTCTTGAGGCCTTTCTCTAATGACTAGGGGAGGACAGAAAGAGGAGAAACCCCCACCTCCCCCAGGCAAGAGCTCCCTACCCCTAAGAGTTCCTTGCAAGCAACTGACTTATACTCTTCTCTTACACAGGTTGGTTATGCTATGGGGGGTATAATAGCTGCTATGTGCACAAAAGGTGGTTAGAGGTATCAGTGCGAAATGTACAAAAGTAAAGGCTAAGTCCACCTATAGTAACACTGATGTGTGCAACCAGGACTATCCAGGAAGAAAATCTTGATAATTTTAGTAACTCTAGTGCCACTACTAACTGTCGCTGCCTTTATAGGAGACAGGGTCTCTCTTTGTCCCCCAGGCTGCAGTGCAGTGGGGCAAATATAGCTCATTGCAACCCCAAACTTCTAGGCTCAAAGGATCTTCCCACCACAGCCTCCCAAGTAGCTGGGACTACAGGTGCACACCACCATGCCTGGCTAATTTGTTTACTTTGTGTAGAGACTGGGTCTTGCTTTTTTGCCCAGGCTGGTCTCGAACTCCTGGGCTCAAGTGATCCTCCTTCCTTGTCCTCCCAAAGTGCTGGGATTACAGGCGTGAGCCACCACACTCAGCCTGTCCCTGCATTTTCTAACACTGTTCAGATTCAAACTCCAGGTGGAAGCAGTCAACAGGCTAAGCCTAAGAAGCATGTCCACCCCTGCAGTTCCTAGGAGGCAAGAACAGAAAATGCCCATTTGAACTCTGCTGGCTTCCACAGCAGAAGGTAGAACCTACCAGGACTCATTATTGGGCAACCTATAGTGGACAGCAGATGTCCATTACAGACATTCCCTATCTGCTTCCTTAAAGAACTGAGAATATCTGTCAAAACAACACTGGTAATGATAAACAATGTTAATTCTGCCAGTCCACGTTACATGCCAATATTGTTCCAACTAAAAAATAATTTATAAAAGCATAGCTCTGATCACTACCACAATCTGCCATCATCAGTCAGAGTCAACAAAAAAATAAAAGCTCCCAGAAGGGCTAAAATCCTTAATGCAAGGCTGATAACAAAGATGGCAGGAGATTATTTAATTTTTTAATGTCAGATCATGTTAACTGCCATGCTTAAATTTGCAAATTGTTGCTTGTTAAAATATCCATTTACTAAAATGATAAATAATACATGTTGTGACACATTAGTGAAACTGTTATTTTTTAAAGCATCACAGACACAGATGAATTACCATTTCGGTGCAAACCCTTGTACCATTTAAGGAAAAACAAGAGGATCTGTTAAGTTACATCGTGGCAGAAAACTCAAGAGTTGCCACCACATTTCCCTACCCCAAAATGACCCTCCACATTTCAGATTCTTAAGGTCTTCTCAGCAAGGCATGTGCAGAGCCAAAACCAGAGCCCAGAAAGTTGACTGAAGGCTTCCTGCCAAAGGCAGCCCTTGCAGTAGCAGCACCAGCTAACATCAAGGTCGAGCTGGCAATGGAAAGGTGGCCAGGTTTAAAAGAAATGCTGTCAGGAATTGCCAGGAATAAAGAAGCCATTCCAAATTGCACTATAGCAAAGGTAACAAGGATCACAGCTTTCCCCAATGTTCATCCATTTCATCCCCCACTAATCTTGCTCAGTAATTTTCATGTTCAATTTTACCTCTTATTCATATAGAGCTCAGCTCTTTGCTTTTATTGAATGGGAATACATACTAGAATTTCCTTTGAAAGAGAAATGGTTATTTGCAAATGCTGGAAGGCAGAGAGTAAAAACAAAGTTTGTAACACAAATATAATTTTGAAATTCAACCATTTATATGCCAAAAAAAAACCCAAACTGTGTTCTATTTACCTTTAACTCAAGATTTGAACATATATCATAAAATCCTTAGAAAACAAAGTGACTGTATTTTAAAAATCAAACCAATGATGGTACAAAAAAAAATTGGTAACCAAAAGATTAAATGTAAAACATGAGTTCACTGACTCAAGGTCAAATTTCTAAACTTGGCATTCTCAGCTCTTCATGGTCCGGCCCTAGCCTACCTTTTTCTATTTTACTTCCTACTGCTTCCCTTTAATAGACGTGTACTCCGAGAAAACTGTACTACTCAGCTCCTCACATTCTCCTGTGTGTATTTTTGTTTGTTTGTTTGTTTGTTTTGAGACGGAGTCTTGCTCTGTCACTCAGGCTGGAGTGCAGTGGCCCGGCTAATTTTTTATATTATTAGTACGGACGGGATTTTGCATTGTTGGCCAGGCTGGTCTCAAACTCCTAGCCTCAAGCAATCTGCCTGCCTCAGCCTCCCAAAGTAATGGGATTACAAGTGTGAGCCACCACACCCGGCCTCCTGTGTGCATTTGTAAATGGTGGGCTCACCTCCCTTTTCTTCTGAATATCTCCTTAAAAATTACATGTCCAGGCCAGATCACTTGAGGTCAGGAGTTCAAGACTAGCCTGGGCAACATGGCGAAACCCCATCTCTACTAAAAATACAAAATGAGCCAGGCAGCTGGCATGTGCCTGTAGTCCCAGCTACTGGGGAGGCTGAGGCAGGAGAATCACTTGAACTCAGGAGGCAGAGGTTGTGGTGAGCCAAGACTACACCACTGCACTCCAGCCTGGGTGACAGAGTGAGACTCTGTCTTAAAAAAAAAAAAAAAATTACATGTCCAAATTCTCCCTTTCCTACAGTGACCAGCTCAAATGGCATCTTGGCCAAGTGTCCTCTCCTTCCTCTGCCTCCCACAGTCCTGGCAATGAGCTATACTCCATACACCTTATCCCTTCTTGAAGAGTCATCTTTGGTCAAAAAGTCACTACTAAACTGTGAGTTCATCTTCACAACACAGCTTTTACTTATGGGGAGACACTCACACTATGCCCTGTTTACACAGGATCCAAGCAGAGCCTGCCTCCAACCTATGGCAGGTCATCTCCTGCCTGCCTTGTGTAAATTCCTCAGATTTAAAAGCCCATTTATTCCTTTGGCTCTTTCCCACTAGGGCTTAGCTCTCTCCCAAAACAATGAATTTTCCTTTCAATGACATTGGATAAGGCTCCTTGATTTGATCTATTTTCTGCCTCCCATCCACTGAGCCTTGCTCCAGGGTATGCCCAGTCCAGTATAAAAAGCCTGGCACCACCTTGTGGGGAGAGAATTTCAACCTCTTTACACAGATGCAAAGGTCCCCATGAGGCAACTGGCCCTGAATTCTGGAGTTCGGCTCCTCCCTTCTCTTGGACCTCAGTTCTCAATTCTCTCCCACTGAATCTTCACAGCTACTTAACTTCTTAATGAAGCTGAACGCTCTATCAACCATCCAGGCCTTAAAGTTCTCAAAGCTGAATATCAAGCATAATCACCCAAGTAGAGAAATGGATCAGACATCAGAGACATCCAGGCAACCTTATCTTGTCTAAAATTATATCTTGTCTAAAAAATATAAATATGTATTTTTAAAATTTTTCGTTACACAATAATGGAATATAATTTCACTGTAAAAAAAATTTGACAACATAGATGACACAGACAAAGTCTCCACTGACACTTCCTCAATCTCGTCCCATGTCTGTCTTAGAGTCCTTTATCCACGTATTTACATATCATCCTTCATCAAATCTAAGATCTTATCACTTGTAATGTGCACTATGCTTCACCAAGAGTTTAAATTAGTAAACTATGTCACCAATTGTTAGATACGCTGATTTCAGAAATGTTAAAAAATCTGAAAAGCATGTTTTAGAATTTACAAATACATATAAATTTTGAGGTTTACAAATATAAATGTAATAATTTTATATTTTTTCTCACTAAAAACGTATCTGAGAGAGCCTCCCACATCAGCTGCATAAAGATCTATACCACACTCTTACACACTTTTTAGGTATCGCATTCTATATGCTGGCTGTACCACTGTACATTTAATCATTCCAATATTTCACCATTCCAGTGCTGGAATGAGCATGTGTTCAGGTGTATTTCACTAGACACAAAATTACCAAATTAAAAGTATGTGATTTTATTTTCAAAGATACAGCCAAACTACCTTCTCCAAAAAGGTCTGAACAATTTATATGCTCAGAATATGAAAGTACACCCATTTTTTCTCATTGCCGCCAAAGAATATTATTCTCTTTAATTTCTGCCAATCTGATGGGATAAAATCATATCTAGTTGCTTTAATGTGTAATTCACTAATTATTAATGAAGTTAAGCATCTCTTTGTATTTATTGGCCATTTGTTCCCTTTCTGTCAATGCCTTTTTATATCTTTTGCCCATTTATTCTAGTGTTTTCTTATTAATATGCAGAAGCTTCTTTATATACTCTGTATTTATCCTTTGTGTATTGCACATGGTCTATTTTCTCCTAGTCTGTTATTTGTTTTTTAATTATATTTGTGATTTTGTCTTTGGTGATACAGACATTACAATCTTTTAATGGTCAAATTTATTCATCACTTCCCAGCTATACCCAAGATTACTTACATGTACGTAATACTTTCTTCTAACAAGAAACCCATTCTTTGCAAACTCCACTGGGTTCTGGCCTGGCAGTGCTTGAAGGGATATGAGATACACTCCTACAACCCACACATTGGAGAATTTCCATACAGCTATCCTGACCCCACCTCTGAAAGAGGCAGGTGTCAGTCAGTGCTCTGCCAGCCTGTGGGCACTATTTCAGGAAGGACCAGCCAGTTCTCTTTTTTTTTCCAGACAGGATCTCACTCTGTCAACCAGGCTGGGCTGCAGTGGCACAATCATAGCTTACTGCAGTCTCAATCTCCCCAAAGTGCCTCAGCCCAAAGCACTGGAATTATAGGCGCATGCCCCACACCAAACTACCTTTTTTTTTTTTGAGGTGGGGTCTTGCTATGTTGCCCAGGCTGGTCTCAAACTCCTAGGCTCAAGCAATCCTCCTGGCTTAGCCTCCCAAAGTCTTGAGATTATGGGCAGGAGCCACTGCACTTGGCACTAGTTTCCTTTCTTAACATCAAAGCCAGAAGCCTAACCCATTCCAGGCTAAATGTGCCAGCCTGGTCAGCCTGACATCATGGCTCAAAACCAGAGACCAGGCTGGGCATGGTGGCTCACACTTGTAATCTCAGCACTTTGGGAGGCTGAGGCAGGTGGATCACCTGAGGTCAGGAGTTCAGGACCAGCCTGGCCAACATGGTAAAACCCCATCTCTACTAAAAATACAAAAATTAGCTGGGCATGGTGGCATGTGCCTGTAATCTCAGCTACTCAGGAGGCTGAGGCAGAATTGCTTGAACCCAGGAGGCAGAGGTTGCAGTGAGCCAAGATTGCGCCACTACACTCCAGCCTGAGCAACAGAGCAAGACTCCATCTCAAAAACAAAAAACAGAGACGAAAGCCCTGCCACACAGAGAGGCAAGCATCCCACTATCCATGGCTCAGTCCCTGGGCCAGGAGTGTCTGGACACCCTATGGAAAGACTGTCACCCCACCCCTCTCTCCTGTAGTCTCAGATGTAACATACTGCCTGCAGAACTGCATCCCTGACCTGGTAGAAACCAACCCCAGGGCATTGGGTAACTCTGATGACTAGATCCTGGTCTGACATGCCCAAATGCCAAGGTGTAGTCCCTGCGAGACAGTCCCCTGTCCCCAGAGAGACGGTGGAGAAAGGCTGGCTCTTCTCCCTTCACACCTGCACTATGAGATCAGGTCTTTGATTCCTCTGCATTCTGCTCCCCACTGCTGACATGGTCTCCCTTACAAGATATGCCATAACCTACTGCCCAGCCTGTCCAAACCTCACGTATCAGGCCCTCAGGACTCACCCAACTACCAGAAAGAGGGCCCAGGACAGTTAGGTTCCGAGTTCCCTGACTCCAAGCAGGGTGAAGTGAGCTCTGGTTCCTGGGTCAGTGTAATACACTGGGTTATGGATGGGTCAGAGGTTGGTGGGAACACATACCTTCCCTCTCTGCGATACATGAATTATTTAGTCAAGAACATAGCACTTAATGGGCAGGTAAGGTGGAAGTACAGAGTAGGAGCAGATGCAGCCTATGTTTCTGTGGCTTGTCCTTTGCCCCTGGGTTTCCACCTAAGAGCATCAGCCAACTATAACACCAAGCTCAGGTGGGGTCCTCCCAGATGTGGGGCACGGGGGAGCGGAGAGGAAGCTGAATCTTTGCTGTGGCTTTTAAATACTCTGGCTTATCTACTCATCACTATACTTACGTTTAAAGGAATATTTATATACATTAGATACTCCTGGTTGGTGAGTCAAACTCGGCATTTTCAAGAATTCCTCCTCACCTGGGATGCAGGTGGGGGTGAAGAAGGCTCTGTGTCCAGGTGTCCCTGCCTCCAGCTTCCCAATCTTTGGAAAGTCCATCTCCCAGAACTGTGATGGCCTGAGAGGCCTGCTCCAACACACATGAAACTCAGCAGAACATCGCAGGGCATACCTGGGAAAATTCCAATCCCACCTCAACCTTCTCTCAGACAAAATTAATCTTGCCTGTCAGAGCCAAATGTAACCTAATGTTCCCCTGATGTAAACAGCTCCCCCTTCTCCTGTTACAGCCCCAACCATCGTGCTTGCACAAACTGAAATCCTACTGTTTACAGCCTGATGATAACCCAGTTGGCATTCTGTGCTCTAAGCTACTCCCTTAGAAAGAGCTTCCCCTGGCCGGGCGCAGTGGCTCACACCTGTAATCCCAGGACATTGGGAGGCCAAGGTGGGAGGATCACAAGGTCAAGAGATCAAGACCATCCTGGCCAACATGGTGAAACCCTGTCTCCACTAAAAATACAAAAAATTAGCTGGATGTGGTGGCGTGCACCTGTAGTCCCAGCTACTCGGGAGGCTGAGGCAGTAGAATCGCTTGAACCTGGGAGGCAGAGGTTGCAGTGAGCTGAGATCGTGCCACTGCACTCCAGCCTGGTGACAGAGCAAGACTCCATCTCAAAAAAAAAAAAAAAAGAACTTCTCCTTGACCTTTCAAGGCCTCCCCAGCAGGACTCAAAATAGGCAGCCTCACCTAAGTCCCACTCACCTCTGAGTCCTCCACAATATTTACTACACTTCTTTATCCTAGATAACATTTTCTAAATATTTGTTCAATTAATTATATTGGAATTATTTCTGGAATTAATTTTTGCCTTCCCAAAGTTCATATCTAGCATATTTAAGTTTGATAAACTTGCATCTTTATTAAAGAAATCTCTCATTGGCCTAATAGCAATATTATCCAATATCAACTTCAGATTTAACCAGCCTCAACTGGTTAAGAGCTTCAGATGGCATTATACTAAATGGAGAGTTTCCTCAGATTCTAAATCTGTGCTGTCCAACACAATAACCACTAATCACATGCGACTATATAAATTTACATTTTCTCCTTTGGGAGGCTGAGGCCTGGAGTCCAGACCAGCTTGGGCAACATAGAGAGACCCCATATCTACAAAATTTTTTTTTTTTAATTAGCCAGGTATGGTGGTACATGCCTGTAATCCCAGCTACTCAGAAGGCTAAGGCAGGAGAATCACTTGAGCCCAGGAGGTCGAGGCTGCAGTGAACTATGATTGCACCACTGCACTCCGGCCTGGGTAACAGAGCAAGACCTTGTCTCTAAATAAATAAATAAATTAATTAATTAATTAATTTACATTTTCAAGAAAATTAAAATTTTAGTTTCTCAGTCTCAGCCACATTTTAAGTGCTCAATAGCCACATGTGGCTGGTGGTTACCAGACCATATTGGATGGTGCAGATAGAGAAAATTTCCATCATCAAAGAAGGTTCTTTAGGATAGCGCTGCTCCAAATGCATTAAAAATCTTGAAAACTGGCTGGGCACTGTAGCTCACGCCTGTAATCCCAGCATTTTGGGAGGCTGAAGATGGCAGATCATTTGAGGTCAGGAATTCGAGACCAGCCTGACCAACATGGTGAAACCTGTCTCTACTAAAAATACAAAAAATCAGCCGGGCATGGTGGCCCGCACCTGTAATCCCAGCTACCTGGGAGGCTGAGGCAGAAGAATCACTTGAAACCAGGAAGCAGGTGTTGCAGTGAGCCCAGATCACGCCACTGCACTCCAGCCTGGGCAACAGAGTGAAACTCCGTCTCCAAAAAAAAAATCTTGAAAACCCAAAGAATCCTTAGCTTACAGCTAGTATCAGATCTTCAAGGTACCATAATTAAATTTAAAAACACACTGCTCCTTTAATTAAAACAACATAAGGAAACACTCTCACTGATAAAGTAGGGCTTTTATAATAATAGATTTGTCTCATCACAATGAAAAATTTAAACACAGCCTAAGTCTCATCTATCTTCGGTTGCCAAAGCTAATAGCCTATGCAGAGGGCAATGCATTCTTAGAGTTGCATGAATCCTTTCTCCTGACAGATAAAATTTCTGGTTAATAGTCACTAAGGAAAGTAATTTTAACATAACCCTTTATGTCCTGGGCTTGACTAGAGCATACAAACAACACCTAGAAAATTTTCAACCCAGGGATTTCAAAAGCTATGCATACAAAACCAAAAACACCTAAGTCTTCTATGAGTTCAGAATTTGATGCTAGGTGGAAGGTGTCTATGAATATGTGAAGTGAGTATATATGTTGGAATAAAGGAACTGTCTAAGTAGGCTGTGTCTTTTTCTCTCCCATCTCCATGAAATGCCAGTGTCTCTTAGCAGATAAAATACAAACCATAAGGGAGTTAGAGAAAAGAAGTCTTCTATTCCTTTTATAGACTCCTAGGAGCACTGAGACTCATTCAACAGCACATAAGTATGAGTCCTGGAAAGCACAGCTTCAGCACCTCAATAGAAAAGTTTTTCCCCTCACAGTGAAGCAATGAGAGGGCTAAGAAGCACATACTTTTTAAAAATCAAAACAGAATTGGATGAGGATGGGCAGAAGGGTAGGCCTGGGGGCAGAGGACCAGGTCATCCAACAGTCTCCAGGTATAAAGTCTCAATTCTATACATTCATAATGTGTATTTGTGATGTTCCCTCTGGGCTGGCCACCACACTGTATAATCATAAAGTGAGCTTTAATTACCCAAGACCATTCACTAGCTCTTATGAAATGTGTTCTACCTGAAGGACTGCTCAAGAGGGTCACAAATGGCTCATAATTTTTTTCTGCTGGATCTTAAAGCCTACAACTTCCTACTAAAGGAAAGGTCAAAGGAAATACATCTGTAAAATACTGCCAGAGGGGAACAGGAGAAGTAGGGGGCAGCCAACAACTGGGACCTCGGTGATGCCAACCTTAACTGTCATTTCACCCTTTCCCCTTCAAACCATCCCATGGTCCTAAAACCTTTATAATCCTTTTATACTTGACACTATTGTCCCAGAAGAGCTGTTTGTCATCCTGAAATCAAACTGTATCTTCTCCTCTGGGAGCATGTACATTCTGTAATAAGACAGGTAATCCTCAGACAGCGGCAAGCAGAACCGTACTAGGCTCTGATACTGACCTTGACTTTACTGAAAAACGTTAAGTGGTAAAAATTTCATCAAGGTAAGGGAAGAACAAAGGAAGAAACTGTTTCCATGTTTTCCCTTCCATTTTACATGTGCATTATTTCAATCCCATAGCCAATTGTTTGTCATCTCTTTATAAACTTTCGGGAACTCAATAGAAAACAGTACATGAGTCACTCTCTCAAGAGCATACAAATGATGAGGAATACATTCCCATATATATATACTATTATTCACTGAAATTTTTACTTAGCTGTTTTTGATGAAGAAAGCCATATGGTCATGAAAAATACACTATAGGCAAGTTACTGATTCTGACAAAGCTTTCTTAAAATTCAGAAGAAACTATGTGAACCAAACAAACACGAACACATCAACCCTCAGAAAAGATGTTTAAAGAGCAATGCAAAATGTTTTAACTGGACTTTATCAGGCTTCTTAAATACTATAGAATTTCCTTACTGACACATTAGGGAAGAAATTAACTTTTAAAGACAATTGTTTAAGGTAAGCAATCTCACAAAATGTTTATCTAACAGAATCCAGCCATGCTGGCTACAGCATCTCTATTGACATACCTTTAAAAACCACAAATTATTAGGAAATAGGTCTGGAAAAACGTGGCCCATGTAGAAAAAGTCTTTAACAAAGAAAGGTTTATTTCCAAATTACATTAGTATTCACAAGGTGAAACAACTTATTATAGATGCACAGCATTAGTCTCATACACAATAATACCTTTACTAATAAGAGAATATGTCCAAATGTCACATTTCTTTTTTACAAAGTTTAATTACCAGAGGTGAGAACTGATAGGCACAGGAATGAGTTCCAGGGTATCAGATAAGAGGATGGCTGCAGAACGAAATTACTGTAAAATACTAACTAAAAGTCAAACATGCAAGAAAATATAAAATATGCATCAGACAGTTTTAGGATGAGGTTAAGGAAAAGAGTCAGTGAGCCAGATTAATACTAATAGCAAGAGGAAGAATAAGAGGAATCTCTGGTTGAGCAGGGAAGGGGAGACAGCAGGGAAAATCTTGAAGAAGGGGCAGAGCTTTCAGCTCTTAAGTGAAGTTAAAGTGGAAGATGGAGACTCCAGCAGCCCCAGCAGACACATCCACCTCAGGTGGAGGCGCAGCGGGAAGAGCAGGTTCCTTTTGACTGTATTCCCCCATCCCATGGCACCCACCAAGGGTGCTTTCTAGGTCAACCTCGGAAGGAAGCCTCTGGTGTCTAAAACTCCATCCCCAGCCAAGTGTGGTGGTTCACGCTGGTAATCCCAACACTTTGGGAGGCTGAGGCAGGAGGATCGCTTTGAGGCCAGGAGTTTGAGAAGAGCCTAGGCAACATAGCGAGACCCCAGCTCTATAAAATAATTTTAAAAATTAGCCAGGCACAGTGACATGAGACTGTAGTCCCAGTTACTTGGAAAACTGACACAGGAGGATCACTGGAGTCCAGGAGTTCAAAGTTACAGTGAACTACGATTACACCACTGCACTCCAGCCTGGGCAACACAGCGAAACCCCATCTCAATCAATCAATCTCCACCGCCATCTGTGTGCTGGTTAATGGCATCCTTGCAACACAGGGTTTAACACGAAAATTCTGCATGAGACAACATGCAATTGTTTTCAGTATAATCACTCAAAAAGTATCAATGAATGGTTTTAGATTCCTGTGTTTCAACAGAGGGTGGAGCACAGAAGGCATGGGGTGTTTGGAGATAGCCAGAAGCCAAAGGCAGGAGGCAAAGGGCAGTGAAATCACCACTACTGAGTGATGTACAGGGTACAGGCCAGCACCTTACTTTATACAGATTACCTCAGTGAAGCCTCACAACAACCTTATGGACGAGGTGAAAGGAGCCAACTGGGGACAACTCTGATCCTTATAACCCCCAAATCTTAGAAAAACGAGGCTGTCCAGTGAGAGTCCAACTATAAAACCAACAGGGCATGTTAGAGACACAGCCTCCTTAAGGAGGCTTAAAGATGGTTGGGCACAGTGGCTCACACCTATAATCCCAGCACTTTGGGAGGCCGAGGCAGGCGGATCCCCTGAGGTCAGGAGATGGAGACCAGCCTGACCAATATGGTGAAACCCCATCTCTACTAAAATGACAAAAATTAGCTGCACCTGTAGTCCCAGCTACTCCAGAGGCTGAGGTAGGATAATGGCTTGAACCTGGGAGGTGGAGGTTGCAGTGAGCCAAGACTGCACCACTGCACTCCAGCATGGAAGACAGAGTGAGAGTCCGTCTCAAAAAAAAAAAGAGAGAGTAAGATAAGGCCAGGAACAGTGGCTCACGCCTGTAATCCCAACACTTTGGGAGGCCAAGGCAGGAGGATTGCTTGAGCCCAGGAGTTCGAGACCAGCCTGGCCAACATGGTGAAACCCCGTCTCTACTAAAAATACAACAATTAGCTGGGCATGGTGGCGTGCGCCTGTAATCCCAGTTACTTGGGAGGCTGAGGCAGGAGAATTGCTTGAGCCTGGGAGGTGGAGGTTGCAGTGAGCCGAGATTGCGCCACTGCACTTCAGCCCAGGCGACAGACCAAAACTCCATCTCAAAAAAAAACATCAGTAAGACACACCTGAAGACCAGCAATTCCACTGCTAGGTATACAGCCAAGAGAAGTAAAAACGTGTCCACACAAAAATATGTACACAAATGTTCATAGTACTACTACTCATAATAGCCAGAAAGTAGAACCATCAATGTCTAATGAATGAATGAAATAAAATGTGGTATATCCATACAAAGAACTATTATTTGGCAGTTATAAAGAATGAAGTACTGATACATACTACAGCTTAAAAGAACTTGAAAAATTATGCTCAGTGAAAGAAGCCAGTGATTTTTAAAAAAGGCCACATACCATAGGATTCCATTTATATGACATGTCTAAAATACGCAAAGTTATAGAGACAGAAAATAGATGAGTGGTTGCCACAGTCTAAAGGAAGCAGGAAATGGGCAGTGATGCTAATGGGTATAGGATTTCATTTTGGGGTAAGAAAAATGTTCTGGAATTAGACAGTGGTGAATGACTTTGTGAACATACTAAAAACCACTGAATTACACACTTTAAAAAAGTAAATTTTACGATAACGCAAATTATGTCTCTTTTTTTTTAATCTACCTTTATTTTTATTATTATTTTTTGAGATGGAGTCTCACTCTGTCGCCCAGGCTAGAGTGCAATGGCACTCACAATGGATCTCAGCTATAGGTGCCTGTCACCATGTCCAGCTAATTTTTGTATTTTTAGTAGAGACGGGGTTTCACCGTGTTGGCCAGGCTGGTCTCAAACTCCTGACCTCAGGTGATCTGCCAGCTTTGGCCTCCCAAAGTGCTGGGATTACAGGTGTGAGCCACCATGCCTGGCCAGATCTACCTTTAGACAATAACGTATCTAAACACTGTCCATTAGAAGGGGAGACTAGTCAGCACCAGAAGCTTAGAAAGGAAGGAAAAAACAAAAACGACACTGTCTGGGGAGAAGCTTCAGTAACAGGGGGACTAAGAACCCTGAGCTCAGATTCATTGAAAGGCTTCTCAGAATGGCATTAGCACTACAGAATTAATCCCAGGCTGCTGGCAAAGTGAACAGAGTCCCCTGAATTTGGGTAATATAGTAGCCCTAAGATCTCTTGTCAGTCAAAATCTCACGAGCACCAAGCAAATCCCATGGAGCTCTTCTTCCAGTATCCTCCCCTGATCCAATATCATTTATTTCTCATTGTAAATTATTAAGCTGCCTTTCAGGCCTTTTTAAGCCCAGTCAAGGCAGCTCCTATGTCAAGAAATGACCTGCTTCCATATTTTTGGACAACAGAGGATATGGGGAAAGACTAGGATGGCCAACCATCCTGGTTTTCCTAGGGCTTTCCAGGCTATAGCACTCAAAGTCCTACAACCCAGAAAACCACTTGGTCCCAGGCGACCCAGGATGCTTGATCACCCCAGAAAAGACCCTGAACTTGGTAACAATACTAAGATAATGCTGCCCTAACAAAGCAGATAATGTGTAGAGTGACTGATGCAAACCGATTCCCACCATCTTCTCCTTTGCCTTCTAACCAAAGAGACTGGGAAGCTACTTTCTTGACATCCCAGACTACCTGCCACTAGTGATGGTTGTACGGCTCAGCTCAAGCCAATGAAATATAAGCAGAAGCCTTGGGGAGTCCCTCATTTCCTGAATAAAAAGGAAGACGTTTCCGCTGTTACCCTTGGCACTTTCCCTCTTTCCCCTGTGGGAATAGAGAGATGGTGCCTAGATATGAAGCAGCTATTTTGTGAGAATGAGATGAGCAAGTGAGCACAAGGAAGGCTTCTATGCTAAAGATGGTGAAGCAGAAAGACCCTGAGCCACACAGTTTGGCCAGACACCACTCACCATAACCCAAACATGCACCCTGGTTCATACCTCTGATCCCTGTAGCTTGTTACTTCTCTACATAAAATGTCTTCCCTACTTTCTGGATGGACTCTGACTTCAAATCTCAATCTAGAAGTTACCTCCCTCTGCAAAGCCTTCCCCAGCCAAAACAAATGTCTTTTTTTTTTTTTTTTTTTTGAGATGGAGTCTTGCTCTGTCACCCAGACTGGAGTGCAGCGGCACCATCTTGGCTCACTGCAACCTCCACCTCCCGGGTTCAAGTGATTCTCCTGCCTCAGCCTCCCGAGTAGCTGGGATTACAGGCACATGCTACCATACCCGGCTAATTTTTTGTATTTTAGTAGAGACAGGGTTTCACTGTGTTGCCCAGGCTGGTCTAGAACTCCTGAGCTTTAGGGGTCATTTGTTCACCCCAAACCCAGTCAGCCCGCAACATTAGCATTAGTTGTATGGTTAGTTACTAATGCACCCACTATAGTCTCCCTGGCTGACCACGCTGTACTATACCTACAAAAAGTACTCTGTAAATGAATGAGTATGAAATATTTCATAAGTCACTGACTGAACAAGTCAACCCCTTTCCTCTTTGAGTTTCTTAAGGGAACAAATAGTATCTCACTCACTGTTGCATCCCTAACAGGCAAATCTGAGATGCCCAATACATGTTTGCTAAACACAAACCATCACAGCTCCTCATAAAAATGTCTCCATTGAGCTGTGATTTAATGCCATCCCTTTCTGTGGGCTGAGAAATGCCTACTTGGACAGGGGTTTAGCATCATTCAGGGAGACTGCATTTCAATATATATATTTCTTATTTGTTTAAAATGTTTCTTTTTATACAACCAGCATGCTTTTTTTTTTTCTTTTACAATCTGGTATTTCCCTTTAGTGGGGAGGATGAAGCAGAATGGGAGGGAAGATTGCCAATGTTATTACTCTTTGATGATAACATAGGATTAGAACCCAAACATAAATTACTCCTAAATTCAGAGAGAAAAAATAAAAACAAAAAAATTATCTTTCTTCAAACTTCTATGCTTCTTTATTTGACAATAAGAATTTTATAAACCAACATCTTGTTCTTTTCTCCTTAGCATCCAGGATGTTTAGAACTAAATTATTCATTCTAGACATAGGGTTTATCTGATATTTCATCTTAATTATTTTTGATGCTTTGAAAAAAAGATTAACCTATTAAACATATTTTAACAAACTAAGCAATGTAAAATCATTTTTTTGATCCAGGCATAGTATAACCAACATCCTCAACAGCTGAAATTAAGCAGTCACTTTCTGCAGCATCAAAACTGCAATAAAGGGAGTCTCTGAGCCTACTCTGGTTCAGAAGCTGCCTACAAAACAATAAAATATTTTTTAAAACTGCAGTAAAGCCTTGAAAAAAAGTATGCATCTCCCAAATTTTGGCAAAATCAGCCCCCCTTTTCCTAAATTATTTTGATACATTTTAACAAGCTTCAACTGAGATTTTTAAATCACTGCATATTTACACATCTTTAAAAGTTTTCTTGGCTGGGTGTGGTGGCTCATGCCTGTAATCCCAGCACTTTGGGAGACGGAGGTGGGCAGATTATCTGAGGTCAGGAGTTTGACACCAGCCTGGCCAACATGGTGAAACCCTGTCTCCACTAAAAATACAAAAATTAGCCAGGCGTGGTGGCGCATGCCTGTAATCCCAGCTACTGGGAAGGCTGAGGCAGGAGAATCGCTTGAACCGGCAGGTAGAGGTTGCAGTGAGCCGAGATTGCACCATTGCGCTCCAGCCTGAGCAACAGAGCGAGACTTTTCTGAGACGGAATCTGTCCCTGACAAGGGCCAAACAAACAAAAAAAAAGTTTTCTTTATTTTATTTATTTTATTTTTGAGATGGAGTCTCACTCTGTCACTCAGGCTGGAGTGCAATGGTGCGATCTGAGCTCACTGCAGCCTCAGTCTCCCAGGTTCAAGCGATTCTCCTGCCTCAGCCTCCCGAGTAGCTGAGACTACACGCATGCGCCACCATGCCCAGCTAATTTTGTATTTTTAGTAGAGATGGAGTTTCACCATGTTGGCCAGGCTGGTGTCAAACTCCTGACCTCAGGTGATCCGACCACCTCGGCCTCCCAAAGTGCTGGGATTACAGGCATGAGCCACCACACCCAGCCAAAAGTTTTCTTTTATCAAGCATTAGACTGCCCACATTAACATACAAAACCTCAGCTCTTCATTATTTTTCTCCCAGAAACCTTCTGACTGGCTTAATTTTGTCCTGGAATAAAAGGCCTACTTAAATTGAGAAATAATTCTGTGTAACTATGAAAGCAGTAACTTCTCAAAATAAAATTTTGCCTTTCTACTTGGAGATGCCTTAGAAATAGTACTACAAAAAGCAACAACCAAAAAAATGAAGATTAGCTTCTGAAACAAATCTTTGTGAGAAAAAAAAGTAATGCCAGTCACAAAGAAAGAGCACTTATATAAAGAATCTGCCACATTCCCCACATAGGAGAGATGTGCTCCTAGAAAGTTGAAACCTATTTTTCTACTGCCATAGTTTAAAAGCCGGCAGGGGTGGGGAGTGGGGGAAGAAGGAGGGGGTGATACATTTACAATTTCAGAGCTCTTCAAATAGTAGGCAATGTTGACATGAAGTTGCAAGTGTAAATATTTGTTCCCTTCCTGGTTTATAAATTTCATGATGATAAAACTCTGTGTATAGAGCCACTAATTAAAAAGGAATCTATTTGCCTTGTAGGATGCTTGAGGTTGTATGTTTATTCAAGATGAATAAAGTGGTGCACACTAGAAAGGAACAGGAATTAGAATTTTGAACTTCATTGGTTTAACAAGTTCCTCCTGGGAATGAAAAGAGACTTCATTTGTCAAATCTGAGAAGGCTTTTCAGATGATAATTTGTGTGAAGATGCAGCAGTACATACAGTAAAAAATTATCTCCCCTGACCTTGAAAGGAAAGAAGGATGATATGTGATCAAGAAACAGCAAATTAAATGTTTGAGAAAAAGGAAGACAGGCTGGGCACAGTGGCTCATGCCTGTAATCCCAGCACTCTGGGAGGCTGAGGTGGGCAGGTCACTTGAGCTCAGGAGTTCGAGATCAGCCTGGCCGGCATGGTGAAACCTCATCTCTACTAAAAATACAAAAATTAGCCGGGTGTGGTGGCGTACATCTGTAATCCCAGCTACTTGGGTGGCTGAGGCAGGAGAATCTCGTGAACCCAAGAAGTGGAGGTTGCCATGAGCCACTGCACTCCAGCCTGGGTGACAGTGCAAGACTCCATCTCAAGGGAAAAAAAAAAAAAAAGAAAAAAAGGAAGACAATTTTCCATTACTTTGGTTTCAGGGTCACTTAACATTACCATTTAATGGTAATCTAGTAATGAGGTCCCCTCACTATTCAAGATTGCTTTAATGTGCTACACATAAGAACTAGCTAAACAAAACTGATTACTACATTACACATACAGATGACAGCCAGGATTGCTATTATTTACTTACATACTAAGTGGAATCTAGACCTTAAGCCTGAATAGCCACCACCACCACAAACAACAAGATCTTATTTTGCACTAGGAATGTTTAAAGCACTCTGTGTTTATTAGCTAATTTAATTTATCCAACATTTTGTTCTTGAAATGACTATTATCCCCAATTTATCTAATACAAAATATTTTTAAACATGTATCTCACACCCATAGAATATACAACACCAGGAGTAAACCCTAATGTAAACTATGGGCTTTGGGTGATAAGGCTGTGCAATTACAATGTGTCATCAGATGTAACAACCATTCTGGTGGGGGAGGTTGATAATGGGGAAAATTGTGCATGTGTAGGGGTAGGGAGTACATGAGAAATCTCTGCCCCTTCCACTCAATTTTGCTGTAAATCTAAAATTGCTCTTCAAAAAAAAGTCTACTTTTAAACACACAAACACACACACACATACACACACACACACACCCCACACACACCACCCACACACAAAACATAGATCTCACACAAAGAAGTAACTTCTAACCCTGCACACAGCAAGTACTCAATATTTGCTAATGGCAAGACTGGAAGTACAGGATGACTATGAAATCAACTAAGAAAGGCTGGGCATGGTGGCTCACGCTTATAATCCCAGCACTTTGGGAGGCCGAGGCAGGTGGATCACTTGAGGTCAGGAGTTTGAGACCAGCCTGGCCAACATGGTAGAAACCCTGTCTCTACTAAAACTACAAAAAATTAGCTGGGTGTGGTGGCGCATGGCTGTAATCCTGGCTACTCGGGAGACTGAGGCAGGAGAATCCCTTGAACTAGGAGGCAGAGGTTGCAGTGTGCCGAGATTGCGCCACTGCACTCCAGCCTGAGCGACAGAGCAAGACTCTGTCTCGGAAAAAGAAAAGAAAAGAAAAGAAAAATCAACTAAGAAAACAACTAAGAAACTGACAGACTTACAGCCTATCAGTCACTGAAGAAATAAACAACATATGACAACCTACAGTAACCACCCAAGTGAATTTGTCTTTTGCTTTCTTATTCCCATGGGGACTACAGGACCTCTGTGATAACATAAGTTCCTTCTACAATGATCCTGTATGTGCCTTTCCAATTTTTCATAACTTCAAGTAAGAAATACGTTCACATCATGACCTACTATACACATATGTGAATATTAAACTAAAATAGAAGTTTCATGAAACATTACTTACCCTTTTACACAAGGCATGCTATATTTTTATTCTGTTTCTCTTTTTTTTTTCTTTAATGCTGATAGGAACTCATTATGTTGATTTCACAATCAATTAATGAGAGACAATTCAGTTTGAAGAACACTGATTTCATGCCTATATTTTGGTTTTCTGGGTAGAGTAAAATTTCTGTCTGCACCTGATAACTCTAAATGAGTCATTTCATCTCCCTGAGTCTCACCTCATCTGTGAAATAAATACCTGTATTAACTACTCATAGAGTGGCTGAATTGAGGAAAAGAGAGAGGGAATAAAAAGACCTTGGGGAGAAGATTCTATTGGAATTCAGTCTGCAACCATCAGGGTGCACCAAGTGGGGAACATCTACCTCCCTCTCTCTCCCCTAAAATCTCTTCCAATCCATGAGCAAGTTCTGTTAAATATGTTCTTCAAAACATATTTCAGATCTGTCCTCATCTCTCCATCCCCACTGTCAAAACCCCAGTCTATGCCTCCATCCTCACAAAGGCCTCCTCCCAGGCTTGCCCTCCTCTACCCTTGCTCCTCTATAGCTCCCCTGGCCACACAGCAGCCTCGGTGACCTTTAAAAAGTTTTATTTTATTTATTTATTTATTTATTTATTTATTTTGCTGCTGCTCAGACTAAAGTGCAGTGGCATGATCATAGCTCACTGCAGCCTTGTATTCCTGGGCTCAAGCGATCCTCCTGCCTCAGCCTCCTGAGCAGCTGGAACCACAGGCACATGCCATCACATCTGGCTTTTTTTTTTTTTCATTTTTTGTAGAGATGGGATCTCTCTATGTTGCCCAGGCTGGTCTCCAATTCCTGGCCTCAAGCGATACTTCCACCTCAGCCTCCCAAAGCACTGAAATTATAGCCGTGAGCCACCATGCCTGGGCAAAAAAGTTTTATTTTGAAAAAATTTCAAACCTATAGAAAAGTTGCAGGAATAATTCAATAAACACCCATATGCCCTTTAAAACTGGCCACTTTTGCTTTATCTCTCTTTTGTGAATCATTTGAGAATAAGTTGTAAAGACCATGATCATTCACCCCGCTTAAGAACAAGGTCATTCTCTTCATTTCCATAATGTATTATCAGACTTAGGACACTTAACATTGATATAAGAGTATCATCTAACAGTCAGTACATATTCCAAATTTGCCAGTTTTCCCCAATACTGTCCTTTACAGTAAGTTTTCTTCCTCCAACCTAGGACCATTTAGTTTTCATGTCTCTCGATGACTTTAAAACATAAACTAAGACAGGTACAGTGGCTCATGCCTGTAACCCCAACACTTTGGAAGACCAAAGTGGGAGGATCACTTGAACCCAGGAGTTCACCCAGCCTGGGCAACATAGCAGAACCCCCTCTCTACAAAAAAAAAAAAAATTAATTAGCCAGGAGTGGTGGCACAAGACTGTAGTCCCAGCTACTCAGGAGCCTGAGGTGGGAGGATCGCTTGAGCTTAGGAGTTCAAAATCAGCCTGGGTAACATAGTGAGACCCTGTCACTACAAAAAAACTTTAAAACTTTGCCAGCCATGGTGGTACACAACTGTAGTCCCACCTACTCGGGAGGCTGAGGTGGAAGGATCACTTGAGCCTTGGAGGCAGAGGTTGCGCTGAGCCGAGATCGTGTCACTGCACTCCAGCCTGGGTGACAGAGTGAGACTCTGTCTAAAGAAAAAGAAACTTACAGAATCTCAGGGTTGAAAGAGACCTTTATTTAGGTCATGTAGCTGAGCCCACGCTACTGCAGAATCCTCACAAGTTGTCATGCAACCTCTATACCAGCTGCTGCAAGGATGGGAGCCCATGTGCCTAGAAGCCGCTTCTCTTGTCTCCAGGTTCTGTGAGTATGTAATACTTGCATATTTTGAGCTGCTCTCTGTCTGGGTTCAAACAGGGCTGAGCAAGTGTGAGAAGGGAACTACTGAGTATCTAGTCTGTGCCAGACACAATGCCGGGCATTTCCCTTAGGTTACTGTTAGTAAAGGATAATTTATTGTTGCTCTCGTATGTGCCATAATTCACTTCTATCTCACACCTATCCAGGAGCCTGTTTTCCTTTGATTTTTAAAGGACCTGCTGCTCACTGTCTTTCTTGAAGCATCCTGTCCTCTCAGGTGGGCTGAAGAGTAGGTTGTTATCCTTATTAAACATATGAGGAAATTGAGGTCTAGAGAGAGTTAGGACACCACACATGGGAGCCAGTCTTCTGACTCCAGCTCCAGGCTTTCTTGTATACTGTTCTGGGCGTTCCTGTTTGAGCTGAGGATGTCTGTGTTTCTAGCACCTGAAACTTCCTTGTTCTGGCATGCTAAACCATATTGTTCTTACTCATCTTGGTATACCTCACAATGCTCCCCTTAGAGTGAGTGTTGCAGCCTATTCTTAAATTTCTTGTAGAGACAGAGTATCTCTATATTGCTCAGGCTGCTTTCAAACTCCTGGGCTCAAGCAATCCTCCTGTCTTAGCCTCCCTAAGTGCTGGGATTATAGGCATTAGCCACCATGCCCAGCTTGTAATTATTTTTTAAATTGAATCAAACATGTCTTAAGTACTCATAAACCATATGAGGGCTAGGCATGGTGGCTCACGCCTGTAATCCCAACACTTTGGGAAGCCAAGGCAGGTGGATCACTTGAGGTCAGGAGTTCGAGACCAGTCTGGCCAACATGGTGAAACCCCATCTCTACTAAAAATACAAAAATCAGCCGGGTATGACGGTGTGTGCCTGTAATCCCAGTTACTTGGGAGGTTGAGGCAGGAGAATCACTTGGACCCAGAAGGCAGGGCTTGCAGTGAGCTGAGATGGCACCATAGCACTCCAGCCTGGGTGACAGAGTAAGACTCCATATCAAAAAAAAAAAAAAAAAAAAAAAAAGGCCAGGCTTGGTGGCTCACACCTGTCATCCCAGCACTTTGGGAGGCTGAGGCAGGCAGGTGGATCACGTGAGGTCAGGAGTTTGAGACCAGCCCGGCCAACATGGTGGAACCCCGTCTCTACTAAAAACACACAAAAAAATTAGTTGGGCGTGGTGCTGGGCACCTGTAATCCCAGCTACTTGGGAGGCTGAGGCAGGAGAATTACTTGAACCCGGGAGGCAGAGGTTGCAGTGAGCCGAGATCGTGCCATAGCACTCCAGCCTGGGTGACAGAGTAAGACTCCATATCAAAAAAAAAAACAAAAAAACGCCAGGCATGGTGGCTCACATCTGTCATCCCAGCAATTTGGGAGGCCGAGGCAGGCAGATCACCTGAGGTGAGGAGTTTGAGGCCAGCCTGACCAACATGGAAAACCCCGTCTCTACTAAAAATACAAAATTAGCTGGGCGTGGTGGCGCATGCCTGTAATCCCAGCTACTCAGGAGGCTGAGGCAGGAGAATCGCCTGAACCCAGGAGGCGGAGGCTGCAATGAGCCAAGATCCACCATTGCACTCCAGCCTGGACAGCAAGAGCAAAACTCTGTCTCAAAAAGAAAAAAAAACTCTTTCAATAGACAATTTATATTTAAACAAGCAAAATGAAAATGAAAAGATCAAATGCATTTATTTGAAATTAGTCAGTATGTGACTGGGAGACTTGTTGGTCATTATTAAATAAAGACATCCTTGTTGCTGCTCATCCTAGATTAAGATGTGGAACAGCCCAAGTTAAGAAGCTACCCAACTCTAAAGTGCAAACCAAGGTCTGCCATCTTGACAATCTGCCCTTGGGCCCTTCAATATAGGTCTCATGGTCTCATATTTGGTTTTTCGTGGGGTTTTTTGTCTTTTGAGACAGAGTCTTGTTCTGTCTCCCAGGCTGGAATGCAGTGGTGTGATCATGGCTCACTGCAGACTCAACAGACTCAACCTCCCAGGCTCAAGTGATTGATCCTCCTGCCTCAGCACCCCCAAGTCGCTGGGACTACAGGGGCATGCCATCACACCTGTCTAATTTTTGTATTTTTGTAGAGGTGGGGTCTCGCTAAGTTGCCCAAGCTGTTCTCAAACTCCCGGACTCAACTGATCCTCCTGCCTCAGCCTCCCAAATTGCTGTGATTATAGGCATGAGCCACTGCACCCAGCCAGGTCTCATGTTTGAAATCTCTGTATGTTATCTCAGACACAGGATCAGAAAATATATGTCATGTGTCTCCTGATCACCACAGATGCCCTTCAAAAACCTTCTAAGTTTGGTGAAAATCTGTCCAACTGTTTCTGACAGATGAGGTAACAGATAAACAGAAGCTTAATCTTAGTTAATAAATAACTGCTTGCATCCATACAGCAGAAATAAGGTCCCTGTCTTCATGAAGCTTTTCCATTTAGAGGGGACAACTTAAGTTACAAAATAGCCAGACAAATAAATACATAATTAGACTATAATAAAGGCTAATAAGAAAAAGCATATGGTCCTTTGTTCGAATTATAAAAGGGACCTCGTTGAGATTGGGAAATTCAAAGAGGTGGGAAAAGTCTTTTTAAAGAACAACATTTAAAGCCAGGCGTGGTGGCTCACGCCTGTAATCTCAGCACTTTGGGAGGCCCAGGCAGGCAGATTGCTTGAGGCCAGGAGTTCGAGACCAGCCTGGCCAACATGGCGAAACCCTGTATCTACTAAAAATACAAAAATTAGCCAGGCATGGCCAATCCCAGCTACAAGGGAGGCTGAAGCAGGAGAATCACCTGAACTCAGGAGACAGAGGTTGCACTGAGGGGAGATCGCACCGCTGCACTCCAGTCTGGGTGGGCAACAGAGTGAGACTCCATCTCAAAAACAAAAAAGAACATTTAAAAAGAAAATATGTATAAAATAACACTATGTTTAAAAAAAAAACTGCATAGCTGTATATATGCTTTGATTATAGTTGTGTGAAAGGACACGCGCATAAACAAATCTGGAAGGAAATAAGCAAAAACAAAACGGTTGTATTAAGGTGGCAAGAGTCTAAACAGTGTTTCACCCTTCAAAATTTTTCTTTAATGTTGTTACATTATTTTTACCATTAATAAGACAAGTATAGACATAGAATCTGAAGCCCTAACAGAGAACTTGAGCATTTTCAGTTTAATCTTAAGCTTCATTGTAAAACTGTGGTTCAGAACAAGGCTGATTTTCATTAAAACAGCAGCAGGGCAGAAGGGAGCATGAGCCTGAGAGTCTGAAGGCCCTGGACTCCAATATGGCCCAGCCATTAACTATCTGCATGATACCAGACAAGTGAATGAACATCCCTGGGAGGCTGCTGTATCATCTCTAACATGGAGCTAACAAGACCTGCCTCATAAAGTTGTGGTGAGGACAAAATGAAAGAGCATATATAAACGGCGACACCCAGCACAGAATATGTGCTTAATAAATACTGGTAGACATTATGATAGTTACTAGGATATAAATGCAAATGAAACAGTGAGCTCTGAATCGAAAGGCTCTAGGGCCCAACAGGTGACTAAACTGGAGAAATTAAACAGTTCCTCATCAATCACTGTTAAATGATTTCTCTCTGACAATAAGCAAATCAACTAGTGGCTAAAGTCACTTTCTCTGAGGTTACCTATATTGCACCTTCAGTAAAACCAAAAGGATCAGCTCAAGATAAAAATCTCTGAGAAGAGAAATGAGCCATACAATTTCAGCAATTTACTAAAAACAATTAAGAACCTCTTTATTTAAAATGAAGCCTCCTGAAAGAGTTTCTAGAAACTGAAATGGAAGCCATATAGAAAAAATATGGCAGATTTATTCCAGTTATTTGGGAAGCTGAAGCAGGAGGATTGCTTGAGCTCAGGAGTTCAAGACGAGCCTGGGCAAGACAGGGACACCGTCTCTTAAAATATAATAAACAAACAAAAAACTGATCTTAAAACAACCCTACAAACCAAAAGTTATGCAGCTAGTATTTGTCAAGATGATGTTATTAAGCATGCATGATAAAAAAGAATGCTTTTTAGTTTCTAGATATTTGTAAAAATAAACTTTAAAAACTCTACCACGTATCTTCAAACATAAGACCATGCCATAAAAGTAGAATGTTTCTGACACCAAATATTATGAAAGTGTATTTTCTTCAACTTAAAGCACTAGGTTAAAAAATTCTTATTCGGCCATTCCATAAACCTTTGCTTCAATCATTTAGTTAATTGAGCAAAAAGTAAAAATATTTTTGCTCATTCACTTCCATCAGAACAGAAAACAGTGTCAAAAGGGGAAGAAGGCTTTCAATATTGCTTTGTTGAATACCTGGATTAGACTGACCACCCTTTAAGATAGTTTTTGTGTACTTCAAAACCCAAACCAAGCCACATGGAGCAGCTGCTCACTGACCAACTGGTCTGCAGAATTCAATGAATGACAAAAGGTTACCTTAATTCAATAAGATAATCAGCATACATTCACCCACCACCCAGAGTCTAACCATCTGCAAGGCGGCAGAGCCAAATGCCTCTAAAACAACTGGCAGTGTGCAGACATGTCCTCGTGTCCCTCATGTCAATGAAATTTCTCTCTTAGCAACAGCTAAAAAGAAGCTGAACTTTCAGAAAATCTCAAGATATCATGATCCAACAACTTGTTAGTAAGTTATTTTGAGTGCCACTGAGATTTCCAGGCCAGATGGGTAATATGTTTTATTCAATTGAGTCTTGTACTGGGATAACAAAATGTGAGACAGACACGATCTGGATCCTTTCATTGTTCAAGAGGCAAAATGTCCTAGTGCCTTCCAAATAACAGCAGGAACAATGTAGCAAGAAAAAAAGAAGGAAAGAAAAAATATATATAGCAAAAACCCACTACAAGAGCAACTTCAGAGTAAGAAATCAATAATAATTAATTTTTTAAAGATCTCAATTGGCTTTATTATGCTTCGAGAGTCAGGCAACACTGCATATCATAAAATAGAATAAGTATACCCCAATAATAATTTAGACTGCAATATCTGACATCTGCCCTAAGCCAGGACATCACGCAGCTAACCATGCAGCTAGCTCTAGTTATCGAGACTACCAAATAATAATAATGATGATGATAAACCAACATACAAGGTTTAAAAAAGACATAATGGGCACTATAAACAGTATTTAATATAAAAATTTACTTTCATTCTAACACATTACACTGAAATCACCTGATACAGTATTTCCCCAAGTGTGGGATTCTATCACTAGTGGTACTCAAGATGCCTTGAGGTGAGACTTGAGATGTTATGAGGTGAGCTGAATCACACAGAATGAGAAACTTGTTCCCTTTTCAATTTTCTTTCATACCTTCCCATTAAGTCAAGAAGAAAGTCTCATTTTGGTGCTAATATTGTGTTTAACGCCTCTAATGCTTGTTAATCTTCTTTTGAGAGAGCAGGCCTCAGGCTCAGAGCCTTGGCAGACAACAATATCCAGCTGAAACTTTTTAAAATAATAACTTTTACAGTTATCTTCTATTTATGGCAAGGAATGCTTGTTTTCCACTTACAATAATGATATAGACTCCTTTTTTTTAGTAAATCTACTAAGATAAAGAAAATGAGGCAATTTAATTTTAAGTAAATATTCTAATTACATTTATTTTTCCAAGTTTACACTTTGAAAAACTTTCAGCCCTACAGAAAAGTTGAAGTAGCATAATGAACACTGGTATGCCCTTCACCTAGATTCAACAATTAGGGGTCCTATCTTTTGCCTCATATCTTTATCTATATCTGTCTATATTCACACATATATTTATACATACATATTTTAGTATGATTTTTGCTGAACCATTTGAAAGTAAGCTGCAAACATCAAGACACTTCACCATTAAATACTTCCGAAGGCATCTCCCAACTCATAAAGACATCCTAGATAATCAAAATGCCATTATCATATTGAAGAACAATAACATTAATGCCATTAAGTTCCCTTAATATGTAATCCAAATTCAAATGTATCCAATTATCCCCCAAATAAGTAATTTTTTAATATTGTCATCCCTTGTTATACATGAGGGATCAGTTCCAAGACCTCAGACTATAACAAAATCCACACATACTCAAGTCCTGCAGCTGGCCCTGAAGAACCCACAGAGACAAAAAATCAGCCCTCTGTATGTGTGCATTTTGCATCCATGAATACTGTATTAGATTTGGTTGAAAAAAATCAGCACGTAAGTTGACCAGCGCAGCACAAACCTGTGTTGTTCAAGGGTCAACTGTACTGTTTTCCATGCACGGCATTTGGTTATTATGCCTCTTTAGTGCGGTAATGTGAAAGCAAGTATTAAGAAAATAATACAGGGGCTGGGTGCAGTGGCTCATGCCTGTAAACCCAGCACTTGTGGGAGGCCAAGGCACGAGGATCACTTAAGGTCAGCAGTTCAAGACCAGCCTGGGCAACACAGTGAAACTCCCTCTCTACTAAAAATATAAAAATTAGCCAGGCGTGGTGGTGCACGCCTGTAATCTCAGCTACTTGGGAGACTGAGCCAGGAGAATCGCTTGAGCCTGGGAGGTGGAGATTACAGTAAGCTGAGATTGTGCCACTGCACTCCAGCCTGGGTGACAGAGTAAGACTCCATCTCAAAAAAAAAAAAAAGATAAAATAATTAATACAGATTGTATAAAACTGGTAAAAATTGTGATTGAGGCACACTTTGGTTTGGGAAACTCTGAGCTTTTGGCTTGAAGGCAGTAGAGAGGAAGCAATCCAAATAATTAATTCAAAAAAGAAAGAAAAACTCTGCTATTAAACTAAACTCATATTTACAGCATACAAAGCTATGAAGGAAAACATGTAAGACTCTCCTTTTCTTCTGTAAGACCCTGAAAAAGGACTGAGCAAATCAAAAGACCACTGTCAAACTATACAGTAATATGCCAAAATGCTCTTCATTAAAAATTCCAAAGCTGATACATGTTCAAAATAACTAGCTCATTTTTGTTATTGAATAGGCACTGTGTTAGGCCACCTAAATGCATAATTTCATTAAATTCTAATTAACAACCCTATGAAGAATATATAATCCTTCCCATTTTACAGATAAGGTAAGTGAGACTCAGGGAGTTTGTGTGACACTTTCTTTCTGCTATTAGAACTTTTTCAAGAAGAATGTACTCATATATGTCTTATATATCTAAAAACTTTTCAAAAGAAAAAATACCAAAGTCCGATCCCAATTTCTGTTACAAGAAATACATAAACGTAGGTATAATATTAGCTTACAAGTGCTTTAAAAAGCCCTGTAAGAATACATACAAACCACCAAGTGTGGCTGCCTTTGGAAAGCTGTTTTCAGAGAAGAACACACAGGGCCAATGAGGTAAAACTTTTACTCTTTACTTTATATACAGTTGGACCTCTGTATGTGTGGAGTCAACTAACCTCAATTCAAAACACCTGGGGTAGTCGAGGGTTGGGGTGGTGCCCATGCCTATAATCCCAGCTACTCAGGAGGCTGAGGGGGAAGAATCACTTGAACCCAGGAGGCGGAAGTTGCAGTGAGCTGAAATCACACTACTGCACACCAGCCTGGGCAACAGAGAAAGACCCTGTCTCCAAATATATAAATAAAATACCTGAGGGGAAAAAAGTGGATGGTTGCGTCTTTACAGAACATATACAGGCTTTTTTATACAGACTTGAGGTCAGGAGTTCGAGACCAGCCTGGCCAACATGGTGAAACCCCGTCTCTACTAAAAAACACAAAATTAGCCGGGCGTAGTGGAGCACGCCTGTAATCCCAGCTATTCAGGAGGCTGAGGCAGGAGAATCGCCTGAACCTGGGAGATGGAGCGTTGCAGTGAGCCGAGATCGCGCCACTGCACTCCAACCTAGGCGACAGTGAGACTCCATCTCAAAAAAATACAAAAAATACAAAAATTAGCTGGGCATGGTGGTGTGCACCTGTAGTCCTAGCTACTTTGGAGGCTGAGGCAAGAGAATCACTTGAACCCAGGAGGTGGAGGTTGCAGTGGGCTGAGATCGCGCCACTGCACTCCAGCCTGGCTGAAAGAGAGAGACCCTGTCTCAAAAAAACAACAACAAAAAATTTTGATGGCTCAAGTGTGAATAATATTTACAAACTCATAAAAATATAAGCACTGAATACATATACTTACCTACATAAAAGTAGTGTATATTGAGATAAGAGGGGCAAAGGGAAAGAGAAAAGTGTATGTGTATGAGGGACCTTTATCCTTATCTACACTCGCAAGAAGTCAACAGATAATGTCTACAATTTAAAAATAAGAAACAACAGCGTAAGAATATTACAGACCTCCAACTTCCCTAAGAAGCCAGACTAAATGTGGTTGAAAGAGTTGAAGATGCTTATCTGCAGGGCATAGGAATAAGGATGGGGAAATAACCACAACACTGTTATTTAGCAATGGCCATTAATCATTTTAAAATGTCCAAGTCATTAGTAATCAAAGAAATGCAAAGTAACTCCTAAGGATCCATTCTTCCCTCTACTACATTAACATGACAAAAGGTAAGCATTAAGAATCAATTAGATGCCCACACTCCCTTATACTCTGCCCATAAGTATAAATTGGTACTATCTTTTTGGAACAGTTTTTGATAATATGCTTCCAAAGCTTTAGAAAAAGAATTCATAGTCATGCCTCAGTATTACCTCCTTTAGTAATCTATTCTATGGGAAATAATTATCCACACATGCACAAATTTTTAGTAGCGGTATTATTTGTAATAGCAGAAGATTTAGGAGCACCTTAAATTTTGAAGGATAAAGACATAAATACTATGCAGCTATTTAGTCAGCTTCAAAGAATAATCAAGAATATGGGAAAAGGCTCACAACAGATTTTAAATTTAGAAAGGAAGATACAAAATTATATAGCTCACACAGTCTTCTTTTTATTTAAATATAGCATACATATTTACATGTAGGAAAAAAGGAAAAAAGACTGGAAGAAAATACACACTTTCAACAGTAGTTATCTTTATAGTCAAATTTGCAGTGATAATGTATCATCTCCAAATCTTTCTGTTTTTCAAAGTCTGTACAAGGAGCATGTGTTACTCTGAAAATAATAGACTCCTTTTCTGATTACTTAAATAACATGAGGTGGGGTGGAAGGAGCCACAAAGAGAAACGGATTCTAGCCATTCTTGGCGTAAGAGAGCAAGAGGAGAGGAGGTCTTCGTTAGAAGGTAATGAGGACATCGGTTTACAGCTTTTCCTTCCCAAACAGTATGGCAGAGTGGAGTGCTGGGGGCTGCCGTCCCTCCACTGCCTTGGAGTCTGTTCAGCTGACCTTTCTGTTGAGGCTGAGGACAAGCTCACCACCTCTGTAGCTCAGGCAGCGACTATCCCAGTGTGGTCAGTGCTATATTATCATCCCTATTAGTCAGCTGAGGAAAACTTGGGATTTGAACCTAAGCATTCTAGCTCCAGAGCCACTTCCCCACAAGACTCCTTCAGAACGATCTCTAAAATCTCTTTTAGCAGGAAGCAGAGCCCTGACCAATTAACATCTCTAGATTGCTTCCTCAGCCACATAAGTAGATCCTACTTGTTCATCTATTAAAGAAGAAAGCATGTGATGCATGCTGGCATCACAAGGAAACTTCAAAAAGTTCTAATGCCTGACTCCCACTCCAACATTTTTATTTAAGCAGCATGGAGGTGTGATCTGGGCATCTAACGTTTAAAAGCTCCTCCAGTAATTCTAATGTGCAGCAAAGTTTGGGAACCACTGGCCTAGGTCAAATGACCTGCTGAAGGAGAGGAGGGGCAAGAAGCTCCAGAAAAATACTCTTTTTGCATATAATTTCAGAGGTCTACAAACCCCAGAAAAAAGGGCTCCTTGAACCTTAGCCTTAAAACCCTGGACTTGGTGATCTCAAAGATCTCCTGCAACTCTAAAGTTTTATACTACATTTAAAGAATTACATAAATATTACTAAATCAATACATTAATAGAGACAAGGGGTGAATTTGATGATTTTTGGTTTTCTATTCTGAAGGACAAACTCCAAGTTTAATTAATCAATGGTTTCCCTTGGGATGTGTATTTAGAAGAAATAAGCAAAGGAATTAGCACTATAACCTTACATCAGCACTATCCAAACTGCTTAACCAAATGCAAAGATTTCTAGACAAGTGAATGGCTGCTATGAAGACAAAGAGGAGAGAGGCCCATCGTCAAATCATCTTGGGTTAGGCAAGGTAAATTTTAGAACTACTCAGGTACTGTAAATCTCAGACTATTATTAGCATCATTAATTTCTTGTAGAGTACTTCCTTCTTCCTCAGAACATCATTTGGGAAAAGCTACTTTAATGATATCATATTATAAATTTTAACAATCTTCTCAGTGACGTCTATTATAAACAGTAAAAAGGCACTTAAAGGCTCATGTTTATAAGAACCTAATATGAAACTATTTTCAATACCTTCTCATTAAAAGAAGTTTTCTTCATCAGGAAAATGAGAGGTAATGTAGTATAATGGTTACATGTACAGATCAAGGAGCTTGGATGCCTGGGTCTAAATCCTGGCTCCAGCTCTACCACATTAATAGCTAGGTAATCTTGGGCAAGTCCTTTCACCTGACATGCCTCAGCTTCTTCCTTTGTAAACGAAGAATGAATAGTCCTACCTTACAAACAGGTTATACACAAAGCACTTGAAGTAGTGCCTGCCTCATAGTAAAGCATTTTATAAATGTTGGTTGTTATTATTCATTCTTAAAATTTCAATTGCTCTAAAAGTGATGATCACTCCAATGATCGTTTGAAAAGGAATAACAGCTGTATGTATTAGCATGTTTCTTTTTTTTTACCTTTGAGACAGAGTCTCGCTCTGTCACCCAAGCTGGAATGCAGTGGTGTGATCTCTGCTCACTGCACCTTCGGCCTCCGGCATTCAAGTGATTCTCCTGCCTCAGCCTCCTGAGGAGTTGGGATTACAGGTGTGTGTCACCACACCCGGCTAATGTTTTTTTTTTTTTTGAGACGGAGGTTCACTCTTGTTGCCCAGGATGGAGTGCAATGGCACGATCTCAGCTCCCGCAACCTCCACCTCCCGGGTTCAAGTGATTCTCCCGCCTCAGCCTCCCGAGTAGCTGGGATTACAGGCATGTGCCACCACGCCCGGCTAATTTTGCATTTTTAGTAGAGACGGGGTTTCTCCATGTTGGTCAGGCTGGTCTCGAACTCCTGACCTCAGGTGATCCACTCGCCTCAGCCTCCCAAAGTGCTAGGATTACAGGTGTGAGCCACTGCGCCTGGCCCAGCTAATTTTTGTATTTTTGGTACAGATGGGGTTTTGTCATGTTTCCCAGGCTGGTCTCGAACTCCTGGCCTCAAGTGATCCTCCTGCCTTGGCCTCCCAAAGTGCTGGGGTTACAGGCGTGAGCCACCATGCCTAGCCTCAACTGATCACTTTTATTACCATTTAGATATGTGGTAACTTCCATATTATGTGCCTAATACAGTGTTTTATATATTGCAAGAATTCACTAGGTATGTGTTGATTTCGCCCGAAGAAATGAGAGGCAGAAGGTGATAAAGTGACTACACTACACTCTGCCTGTGCACCAGGATTGAAACACCAGCTCCAATACTTCCTGTGTACTCTTGGGCAAGTCACCTTATTTGGCCTGTTTCTTCATCTGTAAAATTCAGTTAATAACAGTACTTATCTTTCAGAGTTCATGCAAAATTATATTGTATATATTAAATGCTTAATATACACAATAAGCACTAAGTATTTAATATTAATATCTTTTTGCATGTTTTTTGTACAGCCTTCAAATCTAGTATTAACTGCTTATAATGCACATTTCACAAGGCACAAATACACGTTTTAACTATGCTTGTTTGCTTTTGCTATGTGTCACATACTAAATGGGGAACCTAAGTGGTCAGAGACACAAATCATGGATTTCAGGAGAGAGAAGGCACTTTCCACAAGATACATGTCAAAATAAAAAACAACCTACAAACCAGCATGGCACATGTATATATATGTAACAAACTTGCACTTGTGCACATGTTCCCTAGAACTTAAAGTATAATAAAAATAAATAAAAATAAAAAATAAAAAACAACTGAAAAAGTGTTCTCAATGCTAGCTCTTTATTTCATTCTGCTATAAAATTTTTAGAAGCGAGAAAAATACATACAATTTACACCTGATCAATGTTCTCCAAACTGCCTGCAGGCTTGTGTTCATACACTAGCAAGATTTACTGCTAACCAACATGCCATGCTAAATTGAAATCAAGATATTACACAATTTTCCAACAAAGGGGTGATTTTATAAGCTAGTATACATGCTCCATGAGGATGTAATTGTTGGCATCTTGTTACATTTCTGTAGCTGGTGGAAAATGAGTTAAGTTAGAAGGTTTATAGAGGGTCAGAGCTCATCAGATGAAAAAATCATCTTTTTTATCAGCTCTAGAAAACATATTTATTAAGCTAACTAGTTATTCTTCAACAACTGGATTAGTCAGAATTTCCAAAACCTTCCAACTAACTGCAGAAGACTGCTGAAACATTGTGAAATGAAATAAAATGAAGAATTCTAGAGGCTCGTTACCTCAAGTTCATGTTTATTTTTCTGAATTTTTACTAAAAACTAAAAGAATATAATATACATCCATCTGCATGTCATTTTTCTTTTTTAAATAAATGAGTTTCTTTTTCAGCCTATTTAGACTTCTCTGATTGAGGGTTCTAATTTAAATTATAGATATATGCTGGGCACAGTGGCTCACGCCTATAATCCCAGCACTTTGGGAGGCTGAGGTGGCTGGATCTCTTGAGGCCAGGGGTTCAAAACCAGCCTGATCAACACAGTGAAACCCCATCTCTACTAAAAAAAAAATACAAAATTAGCTGGGCATGGTAGCAGGCACCTGTAATTCCAGCTACTCAGGAGGCTGAGGCATGAGAATTGCTTGAACCTGGGAGGTGGAGGCTGTAGTGAGCCAAGATCGTGCCACTGCACTCCAGCCTGAGCAACAGAGCAAGACGTTGTCTAAATAAATAAATAAAAGACATAAAATTCTTCAGATGTTACTTAGTCTTTGAAATATCATCAAAGGCAGGGCACACTGGCTTATGCCTATAATCCCAGCACTCTGGGAGGCCAAGGTGGGTAGATCACTTGAGATCAGGAGTTCCAGAGATGGAGTCTTGCTCTGTTGCCCAGGCTGGAGTATAGTGGCACAATATTGGCTCACCGCAATCTCCACCTCCAAGGTTCAAGCGATTCTCCTGCCTCAGCCTCCTGAGTAGCTGGGACTACAGGCGTGAGCCACCATGCCCAGCTAATTTTTACATTTTTAGTAGAGATGGGGTTTCGCCATGTTGCCCAGGCTGGTCTCGAACTCTGGACCTCAAGTGATCCATGCACCTCGGCCTCCCAAAATGCTGGGATTACAGGCATGAGCCAAAGAGCCTATCTTGATAAATCACCTTGTATTTTTCATGCACCCTGTGGGCATTTAAATGAAAGACCCTTCTCTACAACTTTAAATGTACTTCTCAAAAATCATTTTGGGCCAGGCATAGCGGCTCTCACTTGTAATCCCAGAACTTTGGGAGGCCAAGGTGGGTAGATTGCTTGAGCCAAGGAGTTCGAGACCAGCCCGGGCAAAATGGCAAAACCCATGCCTATCAAATATACAAAAATTAGCTGGGCATGGTGGCACACGCCCCTGTAGTTCCAGGACCCTGAGGTGGGAGGAGTGCTTGAGCCTAGGAGGTCAAGGCTGCAGTGAGCCATGATCACACCGCTGCATTCCAGCCTGGGCAACAAAGTGAGACCCTGTCTCAAAAAAAAAAAAAAAAAAATTGCCCATCCAAACTTCTATTGTTAAAAACTCTGAAGCTATTAGTGCCAAATCCATTCTTCAGTTCTTCAACTAGTGAGTAAAGGGACATGAAGTGGAGGCAAGAGTGCACGCCCCCGTTCCTGCTCTCCTGGAAATGACTCAGGATGTACCATGAGACTCAAAACTCAGGCCTCTTGACCCCCGGCCTTCAGCTAGCATTACTCCCATAAACTGTGATTAATTCCTTTCTGGTTATTTTTTCCTTTTTTTTTTTAATTAAGAAATAGAGTCCTGCTCAGTCGCCCAGGCTAGAGTGCAGTGGCACGATCATAGCTCACTTACAGCCTCAAACTTCTGGACTCAGGCAATCCTCCCACCTCAGCCTCCCAAGTAGTTAGGACTACAGTTCTGTGCCATCACACTTGGATAATTTTTAAAAATTTTTTCTAGAGATGGGATCTCACTATGTTGTCCAGGCTGATCTCAAACTCCTGGCCTCAAGTGATCCACCTGCCTTGGCCTCCCAAAGCATTGGGATTATAGATGTGAGCTACCTGCACCTGGCCCTCTTTCCTTTCTAAACAGACTTGATCATGGTTCACCATAGCCCAAAACCTTCAATGATTTGCAACCCCCAATGCAAAATTTGATTTAGGTGACAATACTAAACCCTGTGTGGCAGGCAAAATAATGGGCTCCCCCAAAAATGTCTACTTCCTAATGCCCAGAACCTTACCTGGCAAAATAACCTTGCAGATATGATAAAGTTAAGGACTGTGAGATAAGGGCATTATCTGGATTATCCAAATGGGCTCAATCTAATAATATGCATCCTTTAAAAGCTGAAAAACTGTCCAGGCTGTGGTAAGAGGCAGATGTGACTGTGAAAGAACAGTCAGAGAGATGCAACATTGCTGGCTTTGAAGATGGAGGAAGGGATCATGAGTCAAGGAATATGCGCAGCCTCTAGAAGCTCAAAAAAGCAAGGGAAAAGATTCTCTCCTAGAGCCTCCAGAAAAGAACATTACCTTGCCCTCACCTTCATTTTAACCTAAGAAACCCATGTTGGACTTCTGACCTACCGAACTGTAAGACAATACATTTGTGTTGTGTTAAACCATTAAGTTGCTGTAATTTGTTACAGCAGCAATAGAAAACTAATACACACTGGGTGAAAGGTTACTCACATGCTTTCAAAGTATCATTGCACAGATTACTTGTTAATTACAAAAGGGAAAAGGCGCCTTTATAAACGAAGATCTAGCAGATGCCACCTTAACCAACTGATAAACTAAGCACCACCAGTAATGAGACAAGCTGAAATTATTTATCTCCTGGTATCTCACAAGAAGAAATATACAACATCCCCCATACAGTATTTTTTCTTTTCTTTTTTCTTTTTGAGACAGAGTCTCACTCTGTCACCCAGGCTGGAGCGCAGTGGTGTGACCTTGGCTTACTGCAACCTCCATCTCCTGGATTCAAGCAATCCTTCTACCTCAGTCTCCCAAGTAGCTGGGACTACAGGCACATGCCACCACGCCCAGCTGATTTTTTTGTATTTTCTGTAGAAACGGGGTTTCACCATGTTTCCCAGGCTGGTCTCAAACTTCTGAGCTCAATCAGTCCACCCATCTTAGCCTCCCAAAGTGCTGGGATTATAGGTGTGAGCCACCACTCCCAGACCCCCACACGCTATTCTTGTCAAAAATGTTTACTCTGAATCTAATCATGAGGATACAGTCAGACAAATACTAATTGTGGGACATCCTACAAGACAACTACCCTAGACTCTTCAAAAATGTCAATGTCTTCAGAAGCAAAAAGGAGGGAAAACTGTTCTCTATTAAAGGTGACATGACAGCCAAATGCAATATATGATCTTTGGTTGGATCCTGGATGAAAAGTCAAAAGTTGGCCAGGCGCAGTGGCTCACACCTTTAATCCCAGCACTTTGGGAGGCCTAGGCGGGTAGATCACCTGATGTCAGGAGTTCAAGACCAGCCTGGCCAACCTGGCGAAACCCCATCACTACTAAAAATAAAAAAAGTTAGCCGGGCATGGTGGCACGCACCTGTAGTCCCAGCTGCTCGGGAGGCTGAGGCAAGAGAATTGCTTGAACCTGGGAGGTGGAGGTTGCAGTGAGCTAAGATCATACCACTGCACCCCAGCCTGGGCAACAGAGCGAGACTCCATCTCAAAAAAAGTCAAAAGTTATAAATGAGATTTTGGGGCCATTTGGGGAAATATGGACTGTCAGTTAACACTCATTCCACTGCCGAATTTTTTGCGTAATAGTATAGTATATAAGAGAACATTTTTGATATATTATTAAGTATTTAGGGGTGAAATATAATATTTGTAATTTAGTTTCCAACAGTTTAGTCAAAATTGTGAATATATAAATGTGCTGTATATATACGCACACCCATGTATAAAAACATATACATATACACACATATAGGAAGAGAAAGAATGTGGCAAAATGTTAAAATTGGTGAATCTATGTGAAAGAAATAGAGTGTTTACTGTACTACTCTTTTAATATTTATGAAATACTCTAATTTTATAAATTATAAAGGTTAGGAGAGAAGTATTTTCCTAGCTCCCTCCATGCCTGCCTTTCCCAGGTCTGCTCACACACTGCCAGGAGTCTACCTGGAACAGCTGATGTTCTTCAAACAGCCAATACTCTTCCACTAGCAGATCCTGTTTTCTGCTGCTTTACTCACAACTCAAGGCTCAACAGCTAAAGCTGGGTTTTGTTATAAGACAGAAGTGTTTACAATACTAATTTTGAAAACAAGTTGGTCAAATATCAAATGGGAGTCATCTTTTAATGGCCTTATTACTAGATTTTAATATGTTCTTATGTTTCTCTTTCCCAAGATAATGTTTATGATCTGTTTCTTAAACTTCATCATACCCATAGGGTGGCAAGCATGACAGGGAAACCTTGGACAAAAAGCAGGGCTGGTCACATCAGAAACTACTAACAGAAACAGTCAAGCTCTGCCTCTGGCTCTCAGCCCATGTCACTCTGAACACCCTAGGCAGCCCAGACCAAGGCTCACCTCCTTCCTGCAGGCCTCACTGCTCTCCATATGGCAGCTCACTGACATCAAAGAAGACGGAAGAAATTATCTAAATTCACCAGGCTAGTTCCACTCCTTCCCTTGAATTGTGGAAGAGTCGCTGATATCTCAATTACCTCTCCTGCAATAGTACCTTTTTCCCTGCATGCTAAGATTTTGCAATGCTAAAAAGCAGGGTGAGAAGTGTATACTGGACTAACAGATGGAAGATTAACAACAAAAGACCGACTTGATGGGGGAGACAAAACTACAATGTTTGTATACCTATAATAAAAATACTGAGGAAGAAAAATTGAACTTGTAAGTAAAGTTAGGTTGCTCTTCTGTAACGCCTGTCGAGCTACAGACAGGAAAAGGCCCAGCATGGTTTCTGTGTACGCCTATGCTGTTTCTAATAGAAAGGACAAAATAGAGCCAAAACATCTGTTGACCAGTTAAGTTTGTTAATGAAACCAAATTGCAGCTGGTTTATCACAGATCAAAAGTGAGGCAAATTAGAGAAAGGATGTATGAACAAAGCTGGTTTCTAAAAAATAGTGGCTAAAGAATTCTAAACCCACTTGTCAAATTAACAAAAATCCTTCCTGGATTTTGCTTAGACCAGTGATTAGTATTTACTTTGTATCTTTGCAGAGACCAGCCTCATAGTTTAAATCTAGTATCATTCACTCTAAAATGTTGTCTATATTGCTCATTTTGCAGATTTATCAAAATATCACCTTTCATTAAAAAAAAACAGAAAAAACATACACTCTACATAATATTACACTAATTAAAAGATTCACTTATATAAGGAAAAAGAATATGTAGTTTGCAACTGTTGGAGACTTCTCTGGTAAAGTGCTTCTGCCCCAAGCAGAGGCATATGTACAGTTAGCATTTCACATATCCACTGCCACAACTCCTTCTCTTACATGTACAACTTTCCATCACCACCTGAAGACAGAGAGATAAGCACACCCACTCACAAAAACATACTTCCCTCTTGGCCCTGCTAACTCAAAATGTCACATGCAAATTACATGGCTGACGCATTTGCTAACTTTAATTTGGTGAGCTAATTGATGTTTATGTACTCAGAAACATTAATAGATTGGAGAGATCAAAGTACCTGAGAAGATTCAGGTTCATATTTTAAATGCTAGTGTGATCAGAGAACAGTTTCACCTAATCTACTGTAGTTTAAGGCACAGGGCCAAGAAAAGGAAGTTTATAAACAAAACAAAAAGTCAAGAATTTTACAATTAAAACACATTGCTACTGTCATGATAAAACAATGGGCTGGGCGTGGTGGGGCATGCCTCTAATCCCAGCACTTTGGGAGGCCGAGGTGGGCAGATCACAAGGTCAGGAGTTCGAGACCAGCCTGGCCAATATGGTGAAACCCCCGTCTCTACTAAAAATACAAAAAAATTAGCCAGGAGTGGTGGCACATGCCTGTAATCCCAGCTACTCGGGAGGCCAAGACAGGAGAATTGCTTTAACCTGGGAGGCGGAGGTTGCAGTGAGCCGAGACCATGCCACTACACTCCAGCCTGGGCAAGACAGCAAGACTCCATCTCAAATTAAAAAAAAAAAAAAAAAAAAGGCATTTCTTATATATTAAAAATAAAAGGCTGAGCACGGTGGCTCACGCCTATAACCCCAGTACTTTGGGAGGCCGAGGTGTGTGAACTGCTTGAGCTCAGGCGTTCAAGACCAGCCTGGGCAACGTGGCGAAACCCTATCTCTACAAAAAATACAAAAATTAGCTGGGTGTAGTGGTGTGTGCCTGTAGTCCAAGCTACTTGGGGGGCTGAGGTGGGAGGATGGATCATTTGAGCCTGGGAAGGTCAAGGCTGCAGTGAACCATGATTACACGGCTGCACTCCAGCCTGGGCAACAGAGTAAGACTGTCTCAAAAAAAAGAAAAAAAAAAATTAGCCAGACAAGGTGGTGCACACCTGTAGTCCCAGTTACTCAGGAGGCTGAGGTGGGAGGATCAAGGATCACTTGAGCCCGGGAGGTCGAGGCTGCAGTGAGCCATGATCAAACCACTGCACTCCAGCCTGGGTAACAGAGTGAGACCCTGTCTCAGAAAAAAAAAAAAAAAAAAAAAGATGAAAGAAATAACATACAAAGATAAAACATATAAAAAGAATATAGACCTTCATTTTTGAGAAACATTAAAACGTACATTTGTTAAATAATGTTTGAAGAGAAAGGATGAATAAAATATTTGTCATTTAAGACAAAATCAGAATAAACCAGCAAATAGTACTTAACTGTTAAATAACTTCAAAGCTACAGAATATAGATTTTCTTAGCACTGAAAGTATCACAAATGTAGCTGGGAATACAAGAGTAACTCCTGAAAGCTGCTGATCATTCAGGACAGGATCATGTGTTACATACAGTAAAGGTATCACAACTATCAAATCTATCTAAGATCCAAAGAGTTAAAAGAATGTTTAACATTCATTTGAACAACCAAAAATCCTCTTGACATAATGTTTCTACTTTACCTGAAGCCCATTTCATTAGAAGTCTAGACAAGTCCCATCTTGATAAAAGCTCAAAAGTGGAACACGCTGTCATGCCTCAGAGTACAATAGAAAGACTCATTCACCCTTCATTTTATCTTTCCCTTGACCCAACTAACTAGTTTGAGACAATTCATGTGCTCTCTCAACAATGTCTCAACAACTGGTACTACCTGCTCACAAAAGCAGTCCTCAGACACTGCTATTGTGAAGAACTTCTGAAGCTTAATTATAAGAAGAACATGAACTGCAATTTTTTTCCTTCCATGACCCTGGAACAGCAAGTATTTGATCCACCTCGTCTTTCACATTACAATAGGTTTCTGTCTGACTTTAGTGATTCTAAAACTGACTTTATCCATACCAATTCCAAAATGCAGGTTATTTTGAAGAGCATATTTTACAATATTTAGAGATTTATTCGATTTTCAGTTAAATACACATAATCAAGCACTCTTCAAGAAAGATGACATCTGCAACACAAAGGATACCAATTCAAAGGAAAACTAAGAAGGTCAACAGAGAGGAGGACATTCAGGCTCTATAATTAGCAGATAAAAAATATACACATTTCTGCCAAAAAAGATCCAGAGTTGCCTGAGACTATGAACAATTCCCCTAGGGCTGAGAGACTTCTGGAAGCCTGCCACATCAAAGAACAATATGGACTAATGAATAGTCCTTCATAAAGTACAGGCTATTGGAAAAGTCCCAGAACAGATGAGGAGGGTCTGCTCTAGGGCAGGGTTAAGGGGACTGAAGAGGAGAAAACAGAATGGAGAAAACAGAAGAAAAGAAAATCTAAAAATAAACTTATCTAATTCATGTGTGTAAACAACTCAAGCAACTGCTGTAGGATGTACATTTATCTTCTATTTGTAGAAATATTTCATATTAATAACAGTGCCAAAAACCCTAACAACGTATCTCTCTAAAAGGGGCAGGAGAAATAGAATAAACAACTGAATAAGCCAAGACCACACATAACAAGGGTCCTACGTTTGTCTTTCAACCCCATTTCTGATCATCTGAACTCCTTTTAAAAATCATTTTGTGGCCAGACACAGTGGCTCATGCCTGTAATCCCAGCACTTTGGGAGGCCGAGGCAGGTGGATCACTAGGTCAAGAGATTGAGACCATCCTGGCCAATATGGTGAAACCCCGTTTCTACTAAAAATACAAAAATTAGCTGGGCGTGGTGGTGCACGTCTGTAGTCTAGCTACTCCAGAGGCTGAGGCAGGAGAATTGCTTGAACCAGGGAGGCGGAGGTTGTAGTGAGCCGAGATCGCGCCACTGCACTCCAGCCTGGCAACATAGCAAGACTCCATCTCCAAAAAAAAAAAAAAAAAATCATTCTTATCAGCCTGACCAACATGGTGAAACCCTGTCTCTACTAAAAATACAAAAATTAGCCGGGCATGGTGGCACATGCCTGTAATCCCCAACTACTCAGGAGGCTGAGGCAGGAGAATCGCTTGAACCCGAGAGGCGGCAGCTGCAGTGAGCCGAGATTGCGCCACTGCACTCCGGCCTGGGCAACAGAGCAAGACTCTGTATCCAAAAAAAAAAAAATCATTTTGATTTTTTTCTTATTGACAGTATCACTGTTTTTGTAATTTTGTTTATGTTTGAAGGCTTTTTGTAAGATTCTAATACAAATATTTCTTCAACAGAAAAAACATCAGAAGCCCTACTTGATACTGAAAGTGTCCCACCTTCCAATTACGATGCCAACCTAGAATGAGAATTCCCACATTATGTACTACACTGGAAACAGACCAAGACTTGACACTTAATAAATTTTATGAAGACATTCTCACTAAAGTGAAATACTATGGAATTTATTTTAAATGGAACTAAACTGATTTTATAAAAATGCTAAAGCTCAAATGTTCAAATGGAATCTTAATGCTACAAAGTGCGCAGTGATAATGGAAGTCTCTCTTAGAATATGTGACTTTCCAAAGTCCTCATAATCTGACCTAATTGAGCTTTACTACTTTTAATGAGAAACATTAATACTATCCTTTAGGAGTTCCCTCACCAAGTCAAAGATAAAGTTTTATCTTCAGTGGTTTAATTCATTTCCATATCACCTCACCGAAGAGAGCTTTCTTAAATAAATACAAAGAATTTATGCTAAGAAGCCAGTGTGGTAATACCCAATTTGAATTCCAGACTATCAGAAGATGTGCAATTACATTTCAGAAAGGAAGGAGCCCTTCTATTTTAACTTGCATTGTATTCCTCCTAGCAGTCATGCATCGGAATGATGATGATGTTCAATCTAATTAGACACAGACTTACTACTTTCTCTACTGCCTTTCCATATTGCTAATATTATAAATAGTATCTACTTTAAAAACTATAATAAGCTCATTGCATCTACCAAATTTAAAATGCTGGAAATCTATTTGTTGGGGCAAAACTGCTTCTAATCATTTGAAGAACTGGAAGAGATACTTTTACTGTTAATAAAAAGCCACCACAGGCCGAGGCAGGTGGATCACGAGGTCAGGAGATTGAGACCATCCTGGCTAACACGGTGAAACCCCGTCTCTACTAAAAATACAAAAAATTAGCCGGGCGTGGTGGTGGGCGCCTGTAGTCCCAGCTACTCAGGAGGCTGAGGCAGGAGAATGGCGTGAACCCGGAAGGCGGAGCTTGCAGTGAGGCGAGATCATGCCACTGCACTCCAGCCTGGGCGACAGAGCGAGACTCTGTCTCAAAAAAAAAAAAAAAGCCACCACTGTTGACCAGTGTACTGCCCAGTGGTAAAGAGCTCTGAGGTCAGACTGTCTCGTCAGAATCTTGGCTTCACCACTCACTAGCTCTATCAGTGACCTTGGGCAAATCACTTAAGCTTTCAGCCTCATTTTTTCATCTGTAAAATAAGGGTAATAATCTACCTCCCTTGCAGTTATTGTGACAAGTCAAGGAGATAATAAATGTAAAGCACTTGGAATAGTGCCAGCATTTAACACTTACAAAACGTTAGTTATTATTCTTACTATTTTTATTTTGTTTTACATTTAATGTAACTGCTCAAAAAAGTAACCAGAATAAACAGCTTCTTGAAAGTCATGGCCAGGCACGGTGGCTCACAAGCCTGTAATCCTACCTAGCACTTTGAGATGCCAAGGCAGGCGGATCACTTGAGATCACGAGTTCGAGACCAGCCTGGTCAACATGGTGAAACCCTGTCTCTACTAAAAATACTAAAATTAGCCGGGCTTGGTGGTGCGTGCCTGTAATCCCAGCTACTTGGGAGGCTGATGCAGGAGAATCACTTGAACTGGGAGGCGGAGGTTGCAGTGAGCTGAGATGGCACCAGCGTACTCCAGTCTGGATGACAGAGTGAGATTCCATCTCAAAAAAAAAAAAGTCATTAGTTAGGCCAGGCATGGGGCATAGTAGCTCACGTCTATAATCCCAGCATTTTGGGAGGCCAAGGCAGGCGGATCACTTGAGGCCAGGAGTTCAAGGCCAGCCTGGCCAACATTAATGAAACCCCATCTCTACTAAAATACAAAAATTAGCCCAGTGTGGTGGCACACACCTGTAATCCCAGCTACTCGGGAGGCTGAGGCACAAGAATTGTTTGAACCTGGGATGCTGAGGTTGCAGGGAGCCAAGATCATGCCACTGCACTCCAGACTGGGTGACACAGTGACACTCTGTCTCAAAAAAAAGGCATTAGTTGACTAGATTGTAATTGAGATCACTCCATTTCTGAACTGTTTTCACTTATATCATAAATTTCCTCCCACAATGCAAGGCAAATCCTATGACTTCAAGCACATCAAGAACAATGATAATCTTTTCAAATATATTAGAAAAAGTCTTATATATAGGAAATTATAGTACAATCAATCTACATATGAATCCAAGTTCAGCAGCCAAAGGAAGAATCATCATAGGTCGACAATTAGCATACTATGATTTAGTATAAGAAACTCAAACTATTTTAAAATGGCTACTAGGCATTTTGGGTGCCTTTGACAAAAGATGTAGACCAGGAGTGTCCAATCTTTTGGCTTCCCTGGGCCACACTGGAAGAAGAATTGTCTAGGGCCACATATAAAATACACTAACAATAGCTAGTGAGCTTAAAAAAAAAAAAATTAAAAACCACAAAAAAATGTTGTTGTTGTTGTTGTTGTTCTTGTTGTTGTTGTTGAAACGAAGTGTTGCTCTGTCGCCCAGGCTGGAGTGCAGTGCCTCAATCTCAGCTAACTGCAACCTCCGCCTCCCAGGTTCAAACAATTCTTGTGCCTCAGCCTCCTGAGTAGCTGGGATTATAGGCGTGTGCCACCACGCCGCAAGCCAAAAATCTCTTTATGTTTTAAGAAAGTTTACGAATTTGTGTTGGGCTGCATTCAAAGCCATTCAGGGCCGCATCTAGCCCATGGGCCATGGGTTGGACAAGCTTGCTATAGACCCTAGCCATAGAAAAACATGTGGAGGCCAGGCACAGAGGCTCATGCCTATAATCCCAGCACTTTGGGAGGCTGAGGTGGGTGGATCACCTGAGGTCAGGAGTTCAAGACCAGCCTGGCCAACATGGTGAAACCCCGTCTCTACTGAAAATGCAAAAATTAGCCAGGCATGGTGGCGCACGCCTGTAATCCCAGCTACTAGGGAGGCTGAGGCAGAAGAGTCACTTGAACCTGGGAGACAGAGGTTGCAGTGGGCCATGATTGTGCCATTGTACTCCAGCCTGGGTGACAAGAGTGAAACTATGTCTCAAAAAAAAAAAAAAAGAAAAAGAAAAAGAAAAAAAAAGAAAAACATGGATACACACACATGACTTCACACTCTATTTCAGAGGATTTGTGGGATACCCACCCAAGTTCATTTGTGGATCCCGGGCTAAGAATTTCTATTAAATTTACTTAGCGAGTTTACATGGTTTTAAACTATTAAATCACTTTTAATTTCAAAGGGTAATATATTATGTTGTAATTTTCTCACATTTTTTAAGGAAAAATGCTATTTTATTTATTTATTTTTTTTTTTGAGATGGAGTTTCGCTTTTGTTGCCCAGGCTGGAATGCAATGGCGCAATCTCGGCTCACTGCAATCTCTGCCTCCCAAGTTCAAGCAATTCTCCTGCCTCAGCCTCCCCAGCAGCTGGGATTACAGGCATGCACCACCATGCCCGGCTACTTTTGTATTTTTTTAATAGAGACGAGGTTTCTCCATGTTGGTCAGGCTGGTCTTGAACTGCTGACCTCAGGTGATCCACCCACCTCGGCCTCCCAAAGTGCTGGGATTACAGGCATGAGCCACTGCACCCAGCTGGAAAAAAATGCTATTTCATTAAAGAATACAAACATGTTGCCAACTTTGTTTAAACTGATTTTTATTTATTTTTGTTTTTTAAGAATCAAATGATTACTTAATAGAATTAGTCTCCAAATTTCATCAAGTAAAAATTCTAGAAAACATTTCTCAGCTTTCCTCATTATAGCATGATGCTAACTAAACAATTTAAAGATCAGCATCATAAAAAGAGCAGTAACAATTGCCTGCTAAGCAATAAATTACTCTGCTCTCAATCCTAGACACTTTCAGACATGAATTTTCCTTTAGACTAAAAATACTTCTGTACAGATGCTGCCTGAAAAAAATATGATAAGGTTGGCAAGAAATGACGGGCAAGGTTAAAGCGAAGGATCAGAAGATACTGTGGAAAATTTGTACTGACTCTTCCATCACAAGTAAAAAGTATCCCCTGGATCACAAAATTATTGAAACATACTATTAAATTGCCTAAAGCTACCTGAATTAGTCCACGTACCTGTTCATTATAAAACCTTAACATACCTTAGGGTAGTGTACATATTTTTAAAAACAAAGATATCCAAATCCATCAAGAAATGGCTCTATAGTCCCTTAAGGAATTTCTTCACAGTATAAGCTTTTATAAAAAATATTTAATTAAGGCTGGGCACAGTGGCTCACGCCTGTAATCCCAGCATTTTGGGAGGCTAAGGCAGGTGGACCATGAGGTCAGGAGATTGAGGCCATCCTGGCCAACATGGTGAAACCCCGTCTCTACTAAAATACAAAAAATTGGCCAGGCATGGTGGCACGCTCCTGTAGTCCCAGCTACTCGGGAAGTTAAGGCAAGGAAATCACTTGAACCTGGGAGGCAGAGGCTGCAGTGAGCCAAGATCATGCCACTGTACTCCAGCCTGGTGACAGAGCAAGACTCCATCTCAAAAAAAACAAAAAAACAAAACAAAAATATATATATACATATGTATTTAATTAAAAACAGAGGTCCCTGATTTGGCTGTGTCAGACATATGAATTAGGATTTAAGTGGCTTTTTGTATTTTCTTTTAAACAAATGTTATTAAGAAGAAAATTTCATAACTTTACTTCTTTCTTTATGCCCACATTCTGCCACAGAGAACTAGAGGTTGGTTACACAAACACAACAACCACCTAAGGATCAAATAAATGTGGCAGAAGACTAACAAAATAAAAATATAGTTAACAAATAAATGTTGGCCAGGCACAGTGGCTCATGCCTATAATCCCAGCACCTTGGGAGGCCGAGGCGGAAGGATGTCTTGAGCCCAGGAGATCGAGACCAGCCTGGGCAACATCGAGAAACCTCATCTTTACAAAAAGTACAAAAATTAGCCGGGCGTGGTGGTGTGCACCTGTAGTCCCAGCTGCTCGGGTGGCTGAGGTGAGAGCATCACTTGAACCCGGGAGGTGGAGGTTGCAGTGAGCCGAGGTGACACCACTGCACTCCAGCCTTTTAGATCAGCCCATGGAAAGGCAAACCACCTGGTCCTATCCAATTTGTAGGACCAGGTGGTTTGCCTTTCCATGGGCTGATCTGATCTAAAGCATTGAGGAAAACAGGTTCCATTTCAAGGGTTCATGGTATCCAAACAAGAGGAGCATAACTTTTCCTAACATGCATGTTTCAATTGTTTCTAAACTGTACTTAGCCCAGGCAACATGGCAAAACCCCATCTCTACAAAAAATTTAAAAACTTAGCTGGGCATGGTGGCATACACCTGTATTCCCAGTTACTTGGGAGGAACACTTGATCCCAAAAGGTCAAGGCTGCAGTAAACCATGAATAAAACCACCATTTCTTTCCTTCTTTTTTTTTTTGTTTTTTTTTTTTTTTTTGAGACAGAGTCTCGCTCTGTCACCCAGGCTGGAGTGCAGTGGCACAATCTCAGCTCACTGCAACGTCTGCCTCCCGGGTTTAAGGGATTCTCCTGCCTCAGCCTCCCAAATAGCTGGGACTACAGGTGCCCCCCACCACGCCTGCCTAATTTTTTTGTATATTTAGTAGAGATGGGGTTTCACCATGTTGGCCAGGCTGGTCTCAAACTCAGGCAATTGGCCCACCTCAGCCTCCCAAAGTGCTGGGATTACAGGCATGAGCCACTGTGCCTGGCCAAAACCACCTTTTCTTTCTTCCTTTCTTTATCTTTGGGACAGGATCTCACTCTATCACCCAGGCTGGAGTACAATCAAGGCTCACTGCAGCCTCTACCTCCCATGCTCAAGTGATCCTCCCACCTCAGCCTCCCAAGTAGCTGGGACTACACATGTGCTTCACCAAGCCTGGCTAATTCTTTGATTTTTTTGTAGAGACAGGGGTCTTACTATGTTGCCCAGGCTAGTCTTGAACTCCTGGGCTCAAGTGATCCTCCCACCCTGGCCTCCCAAGGTGCTGGGACTACAGGCAGGAGCCACCCTGCCCAGCCAAAACCACCTTTCTATCAACAATGATTAATGTTTTATAACATGTATTAATAAAATTAACTGATATCAATATATCTGCTCACCCAAAAGACAGAGAATAAACCCCAAAACTAGACATGAACTATAAATAACTTTCTGCTGCTCTACTTTGTGTTTAGTTTGGGAAGTAAATACTGTAGCTTTGAAACAAAGACAAATCTTACTCAACCAAAAACTTAAAGTGGTAGCAGTAATGTAAGGAGAATTCTGCCATATATTTATAAATACTATAGAAATAACATAAGGCCCAAGAAATCAGAGTATTTTAAAAAGATACTGTATGAGACAAAATAAACATTCACCTACAACACAGAGAAGTGGACAATAAAAAATGACTTTTTATTGAAATGAGGGATTTAGGTGACGTATTAAAATAACTTCTTACATGCATAGATTATCAGCCAGGCATGGTGTCTCACGCCTGTAATCCCAACACTTTGGGAGACCAAAGCGGGTGGATCACCTGAAGTCAGGAGTTCGAGACTAGCCCGGCCAACATGGTGAAACCTGGTCTCTACTAAAAATACAAAAATTAGCTGGGCATGGTGGCATGTGCCTGTAATCCCAGCTACTAGGTAGGCTGAGGCAGAAGAATCACTTGAACCCGGGAGGCAGAGGTTGCAGTGAGCCGAGATTGTGCCACTGCACTCCAGCCTGGGCAACAAGAGCAAAACTCCATCTCAAAAAAAAAAGCATAGATTATCACCATTAAAATAAGAAGTCTAGCTGGGCATGGTGGCTCACGCCTCTAATCCCAGCGCTTTGGGAGGCCGAGGCGGGCGCATCACTTGAGGTCAGGAGCTTGAGACCAGCCTGGCCAAGATGGTGAAGTCCTGTCTCTATTAAAAATACAAAAATTAGCCAGGTGTGGTAGCAGGTGCCTGTAATCCCAGCTACTTGGGAGGCTGAGGCAGGAGAATCGCTTAAACCTGGGAGGCAGAGGTTGCAGTGAGTCAAGACTGCGCCACTGCACTCCAGCCTAGGCGACAGAGCTAGATTCTGTCTCAAAAAAATAATAATAGTAAAATAAGAAGTCTGTAGATTCTTCTTTGAAAATAGTAATAAAGAGAAAAATATACGATGGCCTTTTCGTAGATTTCTGAAATATATATGACCCTGCCTGGATGAAGAAAGATCAATATTATCCTTCCTGGTCCCTTCAGACACCAACCAGTTAGCAATTAGAGCTTAAAAACAAACCACATGACTCTTCCATTAAATTCTTGGCCAACCAGTGAGGAAGTCCTCCACACAATGCAGTACAATATATACATTTTAAAATACAAAAGCCTGCTCTAAGGCAAAACATTCAATTTTATCAAACTTTATTCAGAACTTTTGTCCACATAAAACTTAAGTGAAACCGTAAAAGACAAAAGGACAGTAGTGAGAATGCACGAACATTACTCCTTCGCTTACCTGGTCTTTCTCATGGGGTAGAAGGCTGACAGGTGGGAGCGAGGATGGGAATGCACTGGGATACTGAGGTGCCCCTTTGCCATCTAAGCTCCCATAATTGACCCTGTACTGCGGTCCGTCTTTCAGTAACCTCCCATTATTCACAGCGCGTTTGGCCCCCAGTCGCAGCCGCTGCTGAAAGGCTGGGTTGTTGGTGGTGCTTGTGAGATCACTTTGACTTCTGAGATACTTCTCTATGTTCTTCAGGGAGGAGCCATTCGGCTCCTCAAGTCCTTCAATTGCTCTCCTTAAAAGTTTATTCCAATCCACATTGCGGAGATCATTACATGATCCTCTAGACCCCTTGGCTGACTTAGGAAAAGTGCCTGGTTTAACTGATGAAAAGCGCCCAGGGTTGTCTGGGTCCTTATAGGAGGCAAGGCCTTTGTTGGTGACTTTGAGAACTGAGCCATCCTGAACACTGAGTTCCAGCTGTTCAGAGACTGTCTTCTTATCCAACCCATGGGAAGTACTGACCGCATGGCAGATTCTCTCTTCAGAGGGCCTTTGCTTTTGCTTTTTTATTTTCTGTATAGCTTCAAGAATCCACTCTGTATAAAGTGGGTTTGCAAGTTTTACCATGGTTGACAAATGACTTCTTCAACACAAAAGTTACCCATAGAGGTTCTCTTTGTATTTAACAGAACTTGCACATTTGAAAGTCATTTACAATTCAACAAATGGACAGAGTATTCCAGACTGTATTAAGCAACATCTTACAAACATCCATCCTTAAGAGATTCAAAAGCAGACAAACAGGCAATGTTGATGGTTGTCTTATTTTACCAACAGGAAAGACTGCATTCGGGTGAAGAACATCTTTAACTGGGAAATCAAGACCTTAAAGGATAAAAAGAGGGGAAAGTCTCTTAATAATGAAGCTTACACAAATAAACTAAAAGATTCTTTAGCATGACTTTTTCAGACACAGAATGACCACAAGAAGTAATGACAGGCAGGTATTACATAACACAGCCACAGTGACTATATTTTTCAACAAGAAATTGGGTCACAGTCTGAGAAGAAATTGTTTTTAGAATGTTTCACTTCTCTATATGAAGTCATTTATGAGGCATAATCACATCTAAATTATACATTTAATTATATTTATTGAAATTAACAAAATTATATGAAAGTGGTTTGAGGTATATGTCTGCCATAAACATAAAATACACATCAAAGAATAAGTCTATGATATAAAAAATCTGATGAAAGTACATTAAACTTATTTCAAAAAATCTTAAACTTAAAAAAAAGAGTAAATAATCCAGCTTTCAGCTAGGTATTGTATTTCCCAAGTCTCATACGTAAAAAAACTTCCCATCTAGCTACTTCTATGGAATCACATCCCCATCCCTTTAACAGAGGTCTATGATACCCTCTAACCCACAAATTGGAAAACTGAAAATAATACAGTAACATAACCCTTCACCTTTAAGTAGTAGAGCATTCTAGTTATCTTAATACCCAGTTAGCTCATTAAACAGCTCAGTACAAAGAAGATATATACAAATCTGATTCCAGGTGGACAGTGGCATTTGTTCTGAGAGATGCTTGGTATATACAAAAACCACCCTAGATCTCCAATCTGGTATTGAGTACATCTACAAAGAGGCTACAAGGAGAAAGAGCCTTGGCCTGGGAATTGGGCCAAACCTGAGCTCTAATCTTGGTGTCCAATGATAACATCCACTTCTTAATTCTTTTTATAGTTTAAACTGTACAGAGTGTGCTCACATATAACTTGTCACTTAAACTGCAGAACTTTGTGGGTAAACTGAGGCTCGGGAGAAGATGGAATTCACCCAAGGGAAGAGTCAATAACAGATTAAAGGGTCGAACATCATTAATTTTTTTTATTAATTTTTTTTTTTTGAGATAGAGTCTCGCTCTGTCACCCAGGCTGGAGTGCAATAGCGCAATCTCAGCTCACTGTAATCTCTGCCTTCTGGGTTCAAGCGATTCTCCTGCACAGCCTCCCAAGTGGCTGGGATTACAGGAATGTGCCACCACACCCAGCTAATGTTTGTATTTTTAGTAGAGATGGAGTTTTGCCATTTTGGCCAGGCTGGTCTCAAACTCCTGACCTCAGCCCACCTCGGCCTCTCAAAAGTGCTAGGATTATAGGTGTAAGCCACTGTGCCCAGCCAATTCTAAAATCCAACTAAGTCCATCACTGTTCTCACCTGAGCCACAACTGCCTGCTCTAGCTAGTTCTGCCTCTGCAAAGAGACCAACCTGGGTCTGAACCCCAGCCCTACCACAATGTCCAGTGGAGGAACCCTGGATAACTTAAGCTTCCATCACTTTACTTGTAGGCAATACTGGTATATCCCTTACAGGACTACTGAGAGGATTAAATAAACACATTATCTAATATTCAATATATAGTTATCACTTTCATCAAATGCAACATCTATATACTTTGAAATTTTTATAACAAAATACAAAATTAAAGTTATCTCTGGTTATTTATTTAGACAGACTATACCTAAGAGAAGAAAATAATATCTTTCCTTAAAAACTTTAGCCAGACATACTGAAGAATATAGTATTTGCTCTCAGAGATCCTGGAATGTTGCTGAAAAACAGCTGGGTCATTGAACTATACTTGTTCAAACAGTACAGTTTTAAATGCCAACCCAAAATGCCACCTTAAAGGAGGCAATTTAAACAAGATTGTCCCTGTGATCAGTAAGCTGTAAATTCACTCTACTCATTCTCCCCTCAGATTCAGAAACTTGGGGCTGAAGGTCATCCAGTCCAACCTCTAGTTATCCAATAAAAGATCCCTGCCCAATATCCCAAATAGATGGGCAATGAGTCTTTACATTTTTAAAATACTTCCAGTGATTGATAATTTGTCACTTTTTGAGGCAGCTCACCCCACTGTTGCACAGCTCTAGCTAAATTTCTTGCTCAGAGAAGCAAAAATCTGCCACCCCATAACTTCGACCCTATTCCTATTCCTAACTAGTCCTATTCCCTGGAAGGATCCCAAGACAATTCTTAGTATTTCTTCAGTATGAGAGGCCTTCAAATGTCCAAAAACAAGTACCTTTTGAAAACCACTAACGACAAAACCCCATGCTACCTCCAGCCATAACTTAGACCACTCATATCCCAGTTTCTTAACCCTTCCACATATCACATTGTTTCAAAGCACCACTTTCTCTTGGTTGCTCACTAGTTTGGCTATTGGCCATCTTAAAATATGACAGTTCAGGCATTATCCAATTATAAATGCAACCCAAATTACAGGAACTTCCTCAATACCCCTGCCACACAAGTGGTCATGGTGAGCATGCAGTCCAACTAAAAATCCCAGATCTTTTTTCAAAAAGTGCTGTCAAGTTGAGTCTTTCCACCCCTTTCCTTCTGCAAATTGAAATGCTGCAATTTAACGTTTATTACCGTTCAATTTCATCTCGTTGATTTAAGCCTATCTTCCAACCTGCTAAAGATTGTTTTGAATCTTGATTCTGTCATCTATGTCATCTACAAATCTAATAAGTACTCACTTTTGTTTCATTATATAAACCCTTGACAAAAATGTTAGACTTGGAACACAGTGTGTTTAGGAATGAAATCACTGGCTTTCACAGTGCAACCACTTTCAGGATAGAACACAGAATCATTCTCTGTCAGTTAGTTTAGAACAGGAAATTGATCTTTCCCAAGTAAAATGGTTTCGGGCAAAATTTCATTAGAAGATATTTCACTGTATCCAAGTAATTATTTAATCTTTCATCATTTATTCAGGATGAATCACAACTAATTTAATTTGATTGCACAAAATACAACTGCAGAAAGTAGAAGAGGTCACAGGAAAAGTGCCCAATATTGCCAAGTTGCTTTTAGGTGTTTTGTTACACAAGCAAACGAACGTACATTAAAACAAAATGCATAGCCGGGCGTGGTGGCTCACACCCGTAATCCCAGCACTTTGGGAGGCCAAGGCGGGTGGATCACCCAAGGTCAGGAGTTCAAGACCAGCCTGGCCAACATGGTGAAACCCCGTCTCTACTAAAAATACAAAAAATTAGCCAAGCATGGTGGCATGCGCCTGTAATCCCAGCTACTCAGGAGGCTAAGGCAGGAGAATCGCTTGAACCCAGGAGGCAGAGGTTGCAGTGAGTCGAGATTGCGCCATTGTACTCCAGCCTCGGCAACAAGAGCGAAACTCCATCTCAAAAAAAAAAAAAAAATGTGTTTCATAACTAATAGATACCTAAAATATACCTTCATGACAAGCTTTTACCACAATCATTTTTTTTTTTTTGGGGGGCACAGAGTCTTGCTCTTGTCGCCCAGGCTGGAGTGCAATGGCATGATCTCGGCTCACTGCAATCTCCACCGCCCAGATTCAAGCAATTCTCCTGCCTCAGCCTCCCAAGTAGCTGGGATTACAGGTGCCCACCACCACGCCCAGCTAATTTTTGAATTTTTAGTAGAGACAGGGTTTTGCCATGTTGGCCAGGCTGGACTCAAACTCCTGATCTCGTGATCCGCCCACTTCGGCCTCCCAAAGTGCTGGGATTACAGGCGTGAGCCACTGCACCCAGCCCACAAATCTTTACCCACAATCATTTATATCCATAAAACAATTGTTTATATCCATTACCAACACATTTCAATAAGATTGTCATTTTATACCTTAAAAATGTAATAAAATAAGGGAAAGTACCAGAATTGGAACTTCAAACGTTTTAACAGTCCATGACAAAAATGGAGATTATCCAGGTCTTCAGGCAAATCTGCCAAAAGAAAAAAGGAAATGTTCATTTGGACATAAGGACATCCTTAAATTCAGCAACCATCCGTGTATCTCCACAACCATTCAAGACAAACAGCTCCAATGAGTTATTATACTACATTTGGTGATATAATAATTCTTTTAGACCACTGAAGGATTCTTATAAATATGAAACTTGAGACAGAAAATGAAGCCCCAAGGACCCAGCCAAGTGCCTATAGAAGTAAATTTCATCCCTAAGCCCAGACCTGTTCAAATTTTAAAAATCAGGTTTGTGATAGATTCCTAAGAAAAAATCTCATCATGGAAAAACAAAACAAAAACAAAAACCCACTACTACTCAAATAGCCAAACAGATATAACATTTATCAGAAAAAAAGACAGTCAAAAGTTGTTTTAAGGTCAGCATTCACATTCCTGGGCAGCATTCGCTGTTTGTCCCAAAGGCCACCAGGCACCTAGGTACTGAATGGACTACCCAGATATGACCAATAAGCTCACCTACAAGAAAAACGTACCAGTTTACATAATAGTAAATATGTATTGACACAAGTCACATTTTAGGACAGCAGTGATTATTTTTACTTGAAAAGCAAAAAATAAATTTAAAAGAACAATTGTGAATAACTGCATTTTGATCTTACGTAAAACAATCAAGCAACCTTGGATCCTCCTTCTCCCCTCCCCCAGCCACGACACACACCCCACTCCTCGATTTAATCTCAAAATTAGCTCTCATCTGACACCAACCAACAGAGTTAATTAGGCAGAAGCAGATGTAACTCAGCAGCTCTTTGCTACAAGCAGAATCACAGTGTTCAAAAAAAAAAAAAAAATACACAGCTAGGAGAGGAACAAAATCAGAAGTCTCTTATCTGTAGCCAATTCTCAACTAAACACATGTATATTATCCACTTTGTATATTATCCACCGCAAATTTTTTAATCTTAGGCTGATTTGTTTCCAACATCCCACTGGCCCCACTGTAAATTCATATAAGCAAGAGAATAGATTGAAAACCAATTTCATTTTAGCCTAAGCAGTATCTAACTGGAAAGACAAATCCACAGGAAAAAAAAATGCATAATTCATTCAAAAGCCAAATAGAAATGATTTTTTTTTTCCTGATTTGGAATTATCCACACTATTTCTCTTTTTCAGAGCATGGGGATTTGCTTCACATGTAGATAGGACATTCTATCACAAGCGAAAACCCTAAAATCATTATTCTCTTTTCATTTTTTTTCTATAAAAACTTGAAGGTTGGACTAAAAGGCTATCAAAAAGGTAGCAAATCATCCTAAATTAATTCTGGGGATTTGTGCTACATCAAATTAAATTATTCTATTTTCTAAGGTTGTGAATCATTTTATTTTTAACTACAAAATATCAGTAAATTATATGGTTGTATCATACGGTCTTATAATATAACACTATTTACATCATTCATTACAAATATTCTAAACATATCTAGAGAAATGCTTAGTCCAGCACTGAGCTTTTAGCTTCACTGGTATTACATAAACATCAACACTATTCAGAAATATTCATGTCAGCATAAGAAGAGTCAAAATATCCTGGATCATAAGTATTATGCGAGGCCTCCTCTAAGCTTTTACTAAAGCTGTGTGTGTTGTTTCAAAATCAATGTCATAACACTCAAGTCATGAGATTATGGATGAGGCAAAAAACAGTGGTAGAAAAAAACAAAGATTAATAATAGAGTTTACACTTTTGTCATCCTGAGTTTTACTTGCTAACAGTTATTTTTAACTATTTTACTTTCATAAGTCCTGGCTTTTTCTTTCTTTTTTTTCCCCAAAGGGATCACTGTTGGAAAACCTGGATTTTTTCAAAGCCCATTGTGTAACTGAGTGAGCATCCACAAATCTAAGCAGTATCTTCCGAAACAGAACAGAACTGTTTAGGGGAAGGGACCTTGACTTATTTTTCTTCTATCAGCACCCAGCTCAGGTTATTGGCAGAGTTGCTCAAAATAGTGTCCTTGGTTAACAAATATCTGTTGTCTGACAACATGAAACGCCATCCATATGGTGATATTTCTTATCTTTCAAATCCTGGATGCATCTATTTCCTCTGAAATCAATGCTTCAGGCCCAAAACATGTGAACTGGGAGGTGAGGTTATAAATACTAATCAAAGAAAAACCAACAAATATTTAGCGAGCTGATGCTCCCTGCATGCAGCCCTGTGGTAGGTACTATGGGGAATACAAAGCAAAGCTAGAGACAGAACATATAAGAAGCAATTAAGAAATAGCAAAGCACTGTTTGGCGGTTCCTCAAAAAGTTAAACACAGAATTACCATATGGTTCTGTAATTCCATTTCTAGGTATAGACTCAAAAGAATTGAGAACAGATACTCAAATAAGTACACGTACACCCATGTTCATAACAAAACTATTCACAGTAGCCAAAAGGTGTAAACAGCCCAAATGTCCATCAACAGATGAACAGATAAACTGTGGTATATCCATACACTAGAATACTATACAACTATAAAAAGCAATGAAGTTTCGATACATGCTACTACAATGTAGATGGACCTCAAACACGTTATGCTGTGAAAGAAGCCAGACACAAAAGGCCACACATCATATAATTTCATTCATATGAGACATCCAGAATAGATAAATCCATAGACAAAACACAGATTGGTGGAGTCTCAGGGACATATCTAGAGAAACTGCTTAATGGGTAAGGGGTTTTATTTGGGATCAATAAAAATGTTTTGGAACTTGATAGTGGCAGTGGTGACACAACACTGAATGTACTAAATGCCACTGATTTGTTCACTTTTTAATGGTTTTTTCATTTTATGTTATGTGAGTTTCACCTCAATAAATTGTTTAAAAAAAAAGAAATAACAAAGCACTAAACTATAATAATAATAATAATACCAACCATTTCCTGACACCTACTGTGGTCCAGGTACTTTACATAGATTATCAGTAAACTTTAAAACAACTCTGTAAGGTAGCATTGTTGTTTTTACAAAAGGAAAACAGGCTTGACTTAGCCAAGATCTCAGAGCCATTAAGTCATGAAGGATTTTAATTCAGATGCCAAAGCCCAAACTCTTTCTGTCTCTCCAGAGGTTTTCAAACTAGGCTCTTTAGATCTCTGTGACAAGGAGTTACTTCGGGTATTACCTTCAGGTACCCCTTGTGGGTTAAACTTTGGGCCATTGCAGCACCTTGAACCCAACAGTGCAGCTCCACTTTAACTGTTTTACATATATTTGTCTTCCCCATAAGATTCGCTTTAAAGGAAGTGTTCCTCTGATTACAGAAGGAAGAAGTCTGGAAACAACTGTGACTATACTACCTTGCTGAAACCACGTGGAGGATGGATGAACATCTCTTGGATGGATGGGACTGAAACTGAACCTTGAAAGATAATGCTGAGCCTGGATAAGTGCCCCACCGTCCCTCTGCCCAAATTCAAATCCTTCATGGCCCAGTGCAAACAACTTCTCAAAAGCCCCAAACATCTTTGTCTAACAGGAAGCTTTTAGCTTTTTTACTGTTTTGACATTCATTTCCCACTTAGTATTATGCTTACTTGTGTATTAACCTTGTCACCCCTACTAGACTATAAAATTCTTAAAAACAGGATTCATGCTTGATTCATCTTTGTATACCCTAAGATTTCCCAAGACCACAACTTGATCATAAGAGGGTTTCAATGCCTATTTGCTAAATAAATGTATCGGGGAATGAATGAAGGAAATCAAAGTGAAATAACAGAAGCTAAGAATGAGCTGTCAAACAAAAGGGACACCAAGTCCATGTGCCTGACTAGAACAGGTATATGCTCAAAAGGGATAAAGAAATTAAGTTGGGCCAGGCACAATGGCTCATGCCTCTAATCCCAGCACTTTGGGAGGTCAAGGAAGGAGGATTACTTGAGGCCAGGAGCTCGAGACAAGCCTAGGCAACACAACAAGACCCTACCTCTACAAAAATAAAAAATTAGGTGGCTGTGGTGGTGTACACCTGTAGACCCAGCTACTCGGGAGACCGAGGCAAGAGGATCTCTTGAGCCGCCCAGGAGGTTGAGGCCACAGTGGGCTATGATTGTGCCACTGCTCTCCAGCCTAGGCAATAGAGCAAGACTCTGTCTCTAAAAAAGACAAATATAATTTAAAAATGAAAAACAGAAATAGGCCAGGCACAGTGGCTCACACCTGTAATCCTAGCACTTTGGGAGGCCAAGGCGGGCAGATCACGAGGTCAGGAGATTGAGACCATCCTGGCCAACATGGTGAAACTCCATCTCTACTAAAATACAAAAAATTAGCCAGGCGTGGTGGTGCATGCCTGTGGTCCCAGCTACTCGGAAGGCTGAGGCAGGGGAATTGCTTGAACCCCGGAGGTGGTGGATGCAGTGAGCCGAGATCGCGCCACTGCACTCCAGCCTGGCAACAGAGCCAGAATCCATCTCAAAAAAAAAAAAAACAGAAATAAAGTTGGCTGTGAAAAAAGCCAAGCTGTGGTGTGTGAACGTGACAGATGAATAGGAAGCCACTGCAGGAGCAGGTGACACCATAATGCACAGGGAAGGGCATGCACATACACACACAAACCTGTTGAATGTTTGAATCACTCTGGCAATAGTAGCCATCTACTCTGGAGGGAAGGGTGATTGAAAGAAAAAACAAAAGCAACCAGTATTTCATCTCTGCAAACATCAATCTTGTTCAACTTATATTTATGAGCCTAACTCAGCAGCAAGCCCAGAGCAGGCACTCAATAAAACGCTGGTTGAACTGAATATTTAATTCCCCATCTTTTTAGAGTAACACTAAGTTCTTTCCCACTACTCATTAACAAAGAGAGTTTTCAATTCATAAGCTAATAATGTTTTCCAAGGATTTCTAAGAGGCTAAATCACCATAAAAATTATCATTTCAACTAATACATATTATATTAATTGCAAGTTTAATTTTTCATGTCATGCTCTCCTAGTTGACAATATCCTTGTTATGTCATTAAACTATAATTGTGTAAATGTGCTTCAACAAACAATAACTGAACCATCAATAAACTATTATGGTTTCCATAATCCCTAGCAAAGATTAGTTTCAACATCATCATCATAAATTAGTAGAGACAGGTCCCAAATCTCCTGGTGAAACCCATGAATTAGGTTTGCATAGTTATCCCTGCATTTAAGTGCTCAATAGTTTCAGTCTCTAAAATTTAATCACACTGTTAGGAACCTCACAGGAAATTTGATCCCTTGTAAAACAGAGGAATTTAGAGACAAGATGAAAAGTCATTTGAAGTCATCAGGTCTTTGGAGCCAGGGTACACTGATTAGTAATGATGTATTATAACTAAGCACTTTCACTTAAGAAATAATCAACTAAATTTAGAGTGTCTTTTTTTGGCATTTAAAAATTCCTATTCAATCCTAGATTTCTCCCTAATTACAAATTAGCTTTAGTTGGTTTTTGATGACAAAGACCGAGAATAATGTATTAAGGGAAAAAATGTGATTTTTTTTTTTTTTTTTTTTTTTTTGAGACAGAGTCTTGCCCTGTTGCCCAGGCTGGAGTGCAATGGCGTGATCTCGGCTCACTGCAACCTCCGCCTCCCGGGTTCAAACGACTCTCCTGCCCCAGCCTTCTGAGTAGCTGGGATTACAGGCACATGCCACCATGCCATTGTTTGTTTGTTGTTGTTGTTTTTATTTTTAGTAGAGACGGGGTTTTACCATGTTGGCCAGGCTGGTCTCGAGCTCCTGACCTTGTGATCCAGCTGCCTGAGCCTCCCAAAGTGCTGGGATTACAGGCATGAGCCATCATGCCCGGCCAAAAAATGTGATTTTTAAAAAACTTTTTAAAATAGAGATACAAGGCCAGGCTTGGTGGCTTATGCCTATAATCCCAGCACTTCGACAGGCCAAGGCAGGTGGATCACCTGAGGTCAGGAGTTTGAGACCAGCCCGGCCAACATGGTGAAACCCCATCTCTACTAAATACAAAAAATTAGCAGGCGTGGTGGCGCATGCCTGTAATCCCAGCTCTTTGGGAGGCTGAGGCAGGAAAATTGCTTGAACCCAGGAGGTGGAGGTTGCAGTGAGCCAAGATTACGCCATTGCACTCCAGCCTGGGCAACAAGAGCAAAACTCTATCTCAACAAAATAAATAAGATAAAATGAAGATACCAAAAAATCTAAATAAATAAATAAAAATAGAGGCGGGGGTCTCCCTATGTTGCCCAGGCATGTCTTGAACTCCAGGGCTCAAGGGATCCTTTCACTGTAGCCTCCCAAAGTAGTGGGATTACAGGCATGAGCCACTGCACCTGGCTGAGAAAAATCTGACATCTTAACTTTTTTATGATTCTTTTGAAAGAGAGATTATTACAGGATTCTTTGTTAACTGTATTACAGATGTCTTCAGACCAGATATCCAGATACCCTGAAAAATTCAGGTTCCCTTTTGAGAGTTTCATAAATATTATAGCTCTACTCTAAAAAATAAGCACATGTACCCATATACACTGGTATACATTTTTAAGGGTTAACAGACCTTCTGTCATCCAGCCATGGACCACTTAAGGTCCACTGGCTATATACAGAGAGGTATTTTATCCAGTTTCACAATAGTTAGCTTTGTGTGCTTTACTTAAGGCATGTTACATCAAGAGTAAGAAAGTTATTCTTTTTGGTTTTGGATGTTATCAAAAAACAGGTTTCTGACATTTTAATCAACAAGTAGGTGTGCTGTGATGGGAAGTATCAGAGTCAGGGATCCAGTCCCCATTCTGCTAGCTACCTAGGCTAGGGGATATTGGACATGCTACTAAATCAATCTAAGTCTCTGTTTTCTCTTCTGTAAAAATGAGAATACTTCTCTGTTTTACAGAACCGTTAAGAGGAATCACTGAGATAACAAATATGAAAGCAGCAAGGATGATGGCAGACACATAGCAGGAACACAATAAAATGCTAGCTCATAAAAGGAAAAAGGGCAATACAGTCAGCTGGAGACCTGTAAAATCTAATCTGGCTGAACTTCTGTCTATATGACCATTTTCTCCTAAGAGACAGGAGAAGTCAGCACCTGGCTCTTAGTTATAGCTGCAGAGAAGTAAAAATTCAAGACAGAGAACAGAAAAAAGTGAAGGAAAGCAAAAATAGATTGTAATGGTGAGGCTGGGGTCAAGAAGAGTGTATTTTACTCATAGTTATACATTGTTTAAGGTCAACAAAGCTTTAAAAAGATAGTACTGCATAGGAGAATATCTTATTGACCTCAGGGTAGGAAAAGTCTTAAAACAAGACACAAAAGGCACTAACCATAAAGTAAAGACCAATAAATTTGACTCCATTAAAATTAAGAACTTCTGTTCATTAAAAGACACCATAAAGAGAGTGAAAAGGCAAGCCACAGTATTTGCAACACACACACATGACAAAGGACTTGTATTCACAGTAAATAAAGAACTTCTAAATAGCAATAAAAGATACAAGGCCCAACTTTTAAAAGCAGGGTGGGAAAGACTTGAACAGAACTTTATAAATGAGGCTATCTAAATGGCTAAAAAAGTATATGAAGAGCTGGCCGGGTGCAGAGGCTCACGCCTGTAATCCCAGCACTTTGGGAGGCCAAGACGGGCGGGTCAACTGAGATCAGGAGTTTGAAACAAGCCTGCCCAACATGGCAAAACCCCATCTCTACTAAAAATACAAAAAATTAGCTGGTTGTGGTAGTGGGCACCTGTAATCCCAGCTACTCAGGAGGCTGAGGCAGGAGAATCGCTTGAACCCAGGAAGCAGAGGTTGCAGTGAGCCAAGATCACGCCACTGCACTCCAGCCTGGGTGACAAAAGCAAAACTCCGTCTCAAAAAAAAAAAAAAAAAAAAAAAAAAAAAAAAAAAATATATATATATATATATATATATATATATATATATATGAAGAGCTGTGCAATCTGATTACTAATCAGGTAAACGCAAAATTTACCATATTGGCTAAAATCATAAAAGCTAAAAAGGCTGAGATTGGAGAGGGCGAGAAGCAAGGGAATTCATATATTGCTGGAGGGAGTGTAACCTGGTACAATACTTTAGAAGAGTTTGGTACTTAGTAAAGATGAAGACAAGCATACCTTATGACTAGGTGACCATACAATTCATCATCTAACCCTAGATACTTTTGAAAACTAAAAGTGTTACAGTTACGCTGGGAAAATAAGCAAAAACCAGGACAAATGGTCACCCTAGCTATAAACCGGCAATTTCATTCCTAGGTGTATACCTTAGAGAAACTTGTGCACATGGGCACCAGATGACAGGTATAGGAATGCTCATAGCAGCTTTGTTCACAATTGCCCCAAACTTGAAACAACTCAAATATTCGGCAACAATGGAATAGATGATACGAAAATTGGTGTATTCTCTTTCTGGGGTCTGCGAGAAGACAGGTATCAGAAGATCATGGGAGTTCTATAAAAAGATGCTTAAAGGTGCTTTGGAAATGCAAATTAAGGCATTAAAGGGAAGAAATATCCCATCACCCCACTTCTCTCATCCACGCATCATTTACCATTCTGCAACAAAGACTGATCACTACAGCTTACACATCCCTACTTACATAAAATATTTTTCTTTTTTTTTTGTTTTTTTTTTTTTGAGACAGAGTCTCGCTCTGTCGCCAGGCTGGAGTGCAGTGGTGCAATCTCAGCTCACTGCAACCTCCGCCTCCCAGGTTCAAGTGATTCGCCTGCCTCAACCTCCTGAGCAGCTGGGACTACAGGCGCCCGCCACCATGCCCAGCTAATTTTTTGTATTTTTAGTAGAGATGGGGTTTCACCATGTTGGCCAGGATGGTCTTGATTTCTTGACCTCGTGATCCATCCACCTCGGCCTCCCAAAGTGCTGGGATTACAGGCGTGAGCCACCACACCCAGCCACATAAAACTATTTATTTAATCCCAGCACTCTGGGAGGCCGAGGTGAGTGGATCACCTGAGGTCAGGAGTTTGAGACCAGCCTGGCCAACATGGCGAAACCCCACCTCTACTAAAAATACAAAAATTAGCTGGGCACATGTCTGTAATCCTAGCTACCCGGGAAGCTGAGGCAGGAGAATCACCTGAATCCAGGAGGTGGAGGTTGCAGTGAGCCGAGATCGTGCCACTGCACTCCAGCCTGGGCAACAGAGCAAGACTGTCTCAAAAAAAAAAAAAAAACTATTTCCTTTTCTCTCAGTACAAATGTAGGCATGTGTAAGCACGTGGAAAACTGAGGGTACACTGTAGAGAACTAGGAGACTGAAAGCCAGATCACTTAGTTACGTCTTTTACTAATTGATACGTGAAAGTCCATGAGAGCTTATGAAGCACATTAAAATTATTAAACTTCCTCATCTACTTTCTAATACTCATGCTATTTACCTTTCATTCATGCTATGCCTCACATCTGACAGTTTCCACCCAATCTTCAAAAGCAGTGTGTGAAATAAACACATGCTATAATAGCAATGACATAATATCCACTCTACTCAGAAGCCTAAGTGTGGCTAGTAAGCAAAACTTCCTCTGCCGACCGTGTCATGACCATCAGCCATTCCCTAAATTCCTCTTTTAATGTTAAAATCTTCCTCTGTCTCTCTCTTTTCTTTTCTTTTTTTTTTTTTTTAAACCATCACTTCACCACTCCAACCTTTAACTCTCAGTAGAAGTTCTCGGAAAAGAAAAAACATGTGCATTATCCTTTCCTTCTTAAAAACATAAAATACTGTCCAAATTCATTCTGATAAATGTGTAAAGAACTTATGAATGGCCGGGCGCGGTGGCTCACGCCTGTAATCCCAGCACTTTGGGAGGCCGAGGCGGGCAGATCACAAGGTCAAGAGTTCGAGACCATCCTGGCTAACACGGTGAAACCCCGTCTCTACTAAATATACAAAAAATTAGCGGGGCGTGGTGGCAGGCGCCTGTAGTCCCAGCTACTCCGGAGGCTGAGGCAGGACAATGGCGTGAACCCGGGAGGCGGAGCTTGCAGTGAGCCGAGATGGCGCCACTGCACTCCAGCCTGGGCGACAGACTGAGACTCCGTCTCAAAAAAAAAAAAAAAAAAAAAAAGAACTTATGAGTAAGAAAAAAATGGAGTGTTTTATTTCAAGGCTATGCCAAAAAATCTAGGGTATACAAGTAAGACAGGAAGAATGCACTTTAAAAAAAAAAAAACACAAAAAACCTTCTTGGGGCCCCATAGAACTAAGACTGTTCGAACACAACTAATTTCCATTTGCTATTTCCACCTTCTGTCCATATAGGAGGGGCCCTCATATGCTCTACCCTGAATTTCCTTGGTACCTCCAACCCCAAACATACTTGGTTCGTTGGTCTTCATTTCCTATTTCCCACATCTGTAATTCTTTATCACTACCCCTTCACAACTTCTGTCTAACACTCTCTTTAACACGTCCCAACACCTTCTACCAATTACAGGGCTTAAACTCCTTCATGGGGCATAGGACACCATTTGTAATCTAACCCCTCCTCTGCCTTTGCCTGGTCATCTCCTACCACTCCCTGCACTCTGCCCACAGCAAAGTACTAGCAAATTCAAAGCTATGCAAAATGTCCTATCCCAAGGTATGGTGCATGTCTCTTCCTGGGATACCCTGCTGCCGGACACTCCCTTGAAGACTCCAGATCAAGTTTAACATAATGAATCCAGCGTATCACGGGTCGCCATAGCTCACGTCTGTAATCCCATCAGTCAGGCAGAGGTGGGCAGATCACTTGAGGCCAGGAGTTCGAGACCAGCCTGGGCAACATAGTGAGACCCTTTTCTCATTTTTATAAAAAATAATAAATACAGCCTATCAAACAACTTGTCTCCCAAACTAACACCTTTCTCTGCCCCATCCTCACCCCTGGCACAGTCCACCAAATCACATTCACCGAAAATTACTGTACAGCTCCACCCACTTTCTTCACACCTGCCGCCTTGTCCCACCCCTACCAATCCCTTGTCCCCAGGAGATTTTCTGCCACAGATTTTGCAAGTTCTAAGCAGCCTCTCTCCCCTTCCTTCATATTTAAGTTTGCTCTGCTGTCTTAGCATCATCTTTCAGAAACTCTCCCAAGCACAACCATCCCATCCTTCCACGTTTTTAAAAAATACTTCATACCCCAAAGCTAGCAAACCTCCTTCTTATTCCAACATGCGATCCACCCAGATACCTCTTTCCCATCACTGCAATCGTACCTGCTCCTCACATGCGCCTCAATGCCTCCCCAAACCCCTCAACGCCTCCCCAAACCCAACACTCTGCACCGCTTCAACTCTACTCCACATCCACCACACCCAAACCCACCTACTCTGCGCCCAGACAACTGCAATCTCGCCTTCGGTATCATCTCACCTGCCCTCACACACCCCTCGGTCCGCCTTCCACTTCTCTCAAATTGCATCCCTCCCTAACTCTCCCTCTGCACCTGCTTCTACACCTTCAGCTTCTCCTCCCACCCAACCCTCACTAGTCTTCCTCACACCCTCGCCGGCCCCCCACCGCTCCTACCAGTTCACTCCCACTCAGAAATTCCCTCTCAGCCCCCGCCTTCCGACTCCCCGAACCCCGCCCCCACCCGATCCCGCCCCGCCCCCCTCCGCCCTCGAGCCCCGCCCCCTTGCCCTAGAGCCCTGCCGAGGGGCGGGGCCTGTCCCTCCTCCCCTTTCCCCCGCCCCCTACCGTCACGCTCAGGGGCAGCCTGACCCCGAGCGGCCCCGCGGTGACCCTCGCGCAGAGGCCTGTGGGAGGGGCGTCGCAAGCCCCTGAATCCCCCCCCGTCTGTTCCCCCCTCCCGCCCAGTCTCCTCCCCCTGGGAACGCGCGGGGTGGGTGACAGACCTGGCTGCGCGCCACCGCCACCGCGCCTGCCGGGGGCGCTGCCGCTGCCTGAGAAACTGCGGCTGCCGCCTGGAGGAGGTGCCGTCGCCTCCGCCACCGCTGCCGCCGCCGCCAGGGGTAGGAGCTAAGCCGCCGCCATTTTGTGTCCCCCTGTTGTTGTCGTTGACATGAATCCGACATGACACTGATTACAGCCCAATGGAGTCTCATTAAACCCGAGTCGCGGTCCCGCCCCGCCGCTGCTCCATTGGAGGAGACCAAAGACACTTAAGGCCACCCGTTGGCCTACGGGTCTGTCTGTCACCCACTCACTAACCACTCTGCAGCCCATTGGGGCAGGTTCCTGCCGGTCATCTCGCTTCCACATAAACACACCCCTCGACCCATCATCCCCCCCTCCGGCACCACCCCGGGGGAGGGTCCACTGCCAATACCAATCAACAGACCGCTGGGTCCGCCTCTTCCGGGCACCTATTGGTCCAGCCCTTTTTCTCTCTCCTAGATACCGCGCCACCTCTACTTCCACCTACCCGCCCCCTCCACCTCTAGGAAAGGATTGGGTCTACTCGCAGCAGAGGAGCGTAGCCTTATTGGCTGCAGACGACGCCAATCAGGAGGCCTTTTCCCTCTCCCCTCCCCCACTCAACCCCAAACCCCCTAGCCCGCAGCTAAAGTTTGTGTGAGAGCTGATCGCTGGCGGCGGCCGCAGGATTTAGGGGTGGGCGCGGGCGGGCGCGCGCGGGCGGGCACGCGAAGTTAAAATTCGAGGTTCTCAGTCGCCAGCTCCTTCGGTGGAGTGTGCGGACGGGCGCGCCGCCCGGAGCGTTCCATCCCGCCCCCTCCTCCACCCTCTCTCCCGTCCCGTCCCGTCCCGGGCGACTACTCGCCCGCCCCCTGGCTCGCATCCTTCCCCCCCCAACACACCCCTACCCTGCCAGCCCCAGGCCGGGTGCAGGCAGAACGATGTCGCTGCAGCCTCCTCGCCATCCCATGCCTCGGGGGAGCAAGCCCCTACCCACCGGGCGTGCACCCCCCGGCTCCACACTCGCCCGTGTCTGCAAGCACGTGCACCGCTCGCCGCTGCCTCCGGCCACCCGGGTCCCCGGCTAACCTCGCCTGCAGCCCGGCCAATCGCTCGCTGCCCTTTGTTGCTGCAGCCTGGGTCTCCCCGCTGCCTTCCTCAGCCTCCGCCTCGTCCTTTGCCAGCCGCCCGGGTCCGCAGCGCCGCGCTCCCCCCGCCCGGGACCCACCGCCGCCGCCTCCTTCTCCTCCTCCGCCTCCTCCTCCTCGGCTCCGGGCTGCAGCGCACAGAGCCCGAGGCAGCGCCGCCCAGCCCCGCTCCCCCCGCGCCGCCCGCCAGCCCGCCCGGCCTGGCCGGGGGCGCAGCCCGGACCCCGCCCGCCCCAGTCTCCGCCCCGGGGGTACCTGCCTCCGCCCCGGGGGGCTCCTCTCGCCGCCCTCGGGGGAGGGCGGAGACGCTGGTGTCCGCGGGAGGATGGGGACGCCTGGGCCGTTTGGGGCGGGGAGTGTGCCCGCCAGGGCTGGGACTGAGGTGCGGTCCTCGCCAACGCGTCCCCACTCCCGTCGCTGTGGGCCCCAAACTTCGTCCTTCGCCCAGGCTTTGCGCCTTCGGGCGATCGCGGCAGTTTTGGGGTGGGGGACGCCTCGGGAGCTGTGTCTACCCTGATCGGGAGGAAGAGGGAGCAGTGACATTCAGCGACTGCGGACAGGGCACGGCGGCGGCATCCTTGTGTGGGAGTGGGGATGTCAGACGCGGGCTGGAGGGGGAAGCTGCCCCCCAGGATGCTCTCTCCCTGCCTGCGAGGAGCTGGCGAGCTCAGCCGCGTTCTGGGTGCTTTCTTGGGCGGTGCAGGCGGATGGCAGAGGGGCTGAGGCGGGAGGGGGGCGGGGAAGACCGCTGGGGGGCCCTTCCCCCCCTCTCTTTTAGCCAGCGCTGTAAGGAAGGCTGATGGCGAAGTTCGGTTTTCCAGGCTTCCCCTGGGCCCCCCGAGTTCCTGAGGCCCACTTGAGGGAGACTGGGGGCTCCTCTGGCCGCCCAGGCGAGGCCACTCTGACGCTGCCCACATGCCTCCCAGAGCTCTCTGGACTCTGAAGAGAGCGCCCCTGGTTCTTTCCGGAGGTGAATGGGATGCTGGCAAGGGAGACTTCAGAAAATAGGAAAGGTGGGCTGAGAAATGGCTCCTAGAGAGTTTGAGCACGAAGTTTCCCTCCCAGGCGCCATTTCTTTGAGAGGGGGAGGAGAACTATGGCTTTGCAAAAGAACCAAGTTTCAGGCATGGTGGCCTGGGTGGAAAACCACCTGTTGCCTGAAGTCTGTCCCTGGAGTCAGGGCCATCTTGGGCCTGGGCATGGCTATGCCGGGTGCCAGGGAGGGGAGGCCCCAGGCTTCCTGCCCTGGTTGACTCCTGCAGCCTCATGCCACTGACACTGCAGCGGCATCTTCACCTTCCCATTAGAAACCACTGTACAACTAGGTAGGTACTTTGTTAGGACAACTTATCTTCGTCCTTATCTCAGACAAAACAAGCAGCACACGCAGCCCTGTCTTCAAATGCAGACCACAACACACACTTCATTTTTTAAAGATGGTCTGCTGCTTTGGGGTGTGAGCTCCCTCTCCTCCTGAGCTTCTTGGCAGCAAGGTGAGAAAGGAACTTAGACAAAGGGCACAGAGTTGGATGAAAGGATAGAGAAAGGTCGAGGGGGAGCAGAAGAATTGTAATACTACACTACAAACTGTCACCGGTTCCATTATAAACAGTTTTTATAGGTGTTTTATTACTTGGTTGTTAGTTTTTTAAAACACAAACCTCTTTAGATTAAATCTTGGCATTCACAGGCTCAGCCCAGGGAAACAAAACACAGAGAAAACTCCAGCCATCCGCTTGGCTACTTTTGAGTTACATTACTGATAAAACAAACAGCAGGTTGGGTTTCCTCAGACTCTGTCTCAGCCTCGTTTATTTAGTATCTTCAATAGCTTGCTCAAGGCGAATTTTTACAAACCATTAGTTAGTTCATAATTCAGTGTAGTTCACTTAGGTGTTTCGAAGAGAAGGACACTTATAAGGTGTGCTTTTTTATAATGCAGGTGCTGGGATTTTTATTCTCCAAGAAGTTACTAAATAAACTTAAGAATCCTGGCCCACTCTTTATTTAGGCTTTCTGTTCTTTTTTTTTCTTATGGTCTGCCCAGATGCACTTTATTTTGTAAATTACATTTGTGACCCTCAGACTGCATTTTATCTCAAGCAATAAAAATAAACCATGCCTTAATTAAAAACAAGTTTGAAAACCCCAAATCTGTACACTCAAACTAAAGTATGTTAAAAGAAGCAGCTAAAGACAATAAAAGCCAAAAAGTCCACGTTTAAGATGCCTTCAGCCAATGAATTGTGGGTGATTTGTGAGCACCCAACACTCATTATCACTAATGTATTATTCCACAAGGATCTCCAGTGCATCAAGAAGTGAAGAGACACCTTAGAGAGAAATCGGCTATGTTTGCCTAAACCTGTGCTCTTGTAACCCCAGGAGATCAGGAATACAGAAGAGAGAAATGTCTTCATTCAACCTCTTGATATGTTTTCTTGAGATTCTGTTCTTAACAAGCATAGTTCTGTAACGGGGATGTGGCAAGGAATCCATAGCTTTCCCATTGATACTCCCCTCTAGGGTTACTTGTCCTTTGAGAAATCTGGCTCTTCAGATAAGTGGGACTGGAAAGGATAATAAGAGACACAGTCAGAGATATTTAATGCTTACTCCTAAACCGCTCTCTTATCTGTGGTATCTCAGGTCCTCTGCTGAGCTAAATAGCTCAATTAAGAAATTAACCTAGAAATAGCCTGAATTGAAAACCAAGCATGGTGCAAATTTTGCAAGCCTACTGGGCTGGAGGATTATGAATGGAGAAGCTTATCTGACCTGTCCCCCACAACCCCAAAACAGCTGCCAGCCACCACCACAGACCAGAACCACTGACTAGTTATACTGCTCCATGCAATCTACAGATCACTGGAATCAGAATGATCTGGGAATGAGTGTTTGAAAGACAGTTTCCTTGGCCCAACCCCAGAGATTCTGATTCAGTAAGTCTGAAGCGAGTCTCCCAAAAATATATTTTTAGCTCATGACTAGTCTTGAAGCTTACAGTCACTAAATTTGAGAACCACTGGCCTAGGCTAAATCTTCTTCTTCCCCAACCGAGGAAGTTACTTCTTCTGTGAGTGTCTTAGCCAAAAGGTTATAGTCCCTAGTACTGGGCTGATTTCATGATCTGACCTATTTGTCCTTGAGTTCTGAACAAGAATAATAAAGTGCAGAGGAGCTGCAGGAACCTCTGGGAACCCAGATGGTTTGATCTTTTGGGTTTGTTTACTTGCTCTGAAGCAAGTCAGACAAACAGCCTGATAAGAGGTACCACATCCACAGAGGCACTACCAAGTCCTTCTAAAGGAAATTGGGTAAGGAGGCACAGGCAAGGACGCTAAACGTATTTGTCCAGGGCCCAGCCCATGGTGAATTCTATTTACATTCAATTAGTCACTTAAAAAACATTGATCTACACCTCCCTTCCAACTGCCACATGGAATCCTCTCCCTTCATTGACTAGAAACTGACCCCACAAGGTCACAATGTCTGGTTACTTCAGTCAAGGGCAGAGGGGATGGGGGATGATCAGTCAAAGCATTAAACTGGTTAGGAAATTCTAGCTACAGCTGCCTTTATGAACAGCTGGGGTTATCTCAAATACCAGTATTCTGTACCCACATCTAATTTATGCATTCCTGCTTTAAAACCTTTAACGTCTTTTAAATGCGTTCTGGACCAAGCCTAAACCCCTTAGTCCTCTAAAGGTATGCATATCTGCACCTCACTAGTATCTCATCTCCAGCTTCCCGAGCCTGCCACTTGTCTGTGCCCAGCACACCCTGTCCTCACTGCGATGCCCTCACTCCCTGCCTTATCTGATAAAGACCTTGGCTAAGCACTCCTCCCAATTCCTGCTTGGCTGCTGCCTCCTCTGTGAAGTTTTCCTGGTTTTTGCAGGTAGCCCACAGGACTGAGAGCCTGGCTTCACTCCAGCACTGGCGCTTGTTAAGTGCTTAGCTAATATTTGTTGAATTATGGAATAAATAAAAGCATTTACCCTACTCTCTTGTCATATTTTGCCTGTTTTCCTAATTAGCTTTTCTACTGCATGGACCAGTTTGTTCATCTGTGTAACTGCCCTAGTGCCATAAAAGCTACTTAATGAAGACACACCATTCATACCTGTGGTTTGCCTCCCTGGCCACACGTAGCAATCACCTGAGGAGCTCTTGAACCAGCCTAGAGCCTAAGTCCCACGTAAGGCCAATTAAATTAGAATATTTGGGGAGAGGGGCCCTTCATCAGCATTTTTCCAAATCACCCTGTGCAGTCAGGGTGAACAACCATTGATTTATTTCTTATTTATTTATTTATCTTAAGACAGGGTCTTGTTCCTGTTGCCCATGCTGGAGTGCAGTGGCACAATCATGCCTCACTGCAGCCTCAACTTCCCAGGCTCAGGCGATCCTCCCACCTCAGCCTCCGGTTAGCTGGGACTACAGGAGTATGCCATCACACCCGGCTAATTTTTTGTATTTTTAATAGAGACAGGGTTTCACCATGTTGCCCAGGCTGGTCTTGAACTCCTGGGTTCAAACAGCCTCCAAAAGTACTGGAATTACAGGGCCCGTAATCCCAGCACTTTGGGAGGCCGCTTGAGCCCAGGAGGTCAAGACTAGCCCGACCATTGATTTCTATAAACCAGAAACATGCCTCAGCCTCAAATGAGAGATTCTGAGGAAGACAGGAGAGTGATAAGAGATTGTAGAATTAGCTAAAGATTGTTGAAGAACAAAGTTGTCGGGGATCTTTTGGTTTTTGTTTTGAGACTCAAAGGTGAGGTGGCCTTTCACTAATCATATCAATTAGTGATGTCCAAATAGTCTTAATAAAGACAGTTTTTAGCACCAGGCTATACCAAAGAAAATTTGGACAGGGTATGGTGACTCACACCTGTATTCCCAATGCTTTGGGAGGCTGAGATGGGAGGATGGCTGGAGGCCAGGAGTTTGACACCAGCCTAGGCAAGATAGCCAGACCCCTATCTCTATAAAAAATTTAAATATTAGCCAGACATGGTGACACACACCTGTAGTCTCAGCTACTGGGGAGGCTGACGTGGGAGGATCACTTGAGCCCAGGAGTTGGAGGCTACAGTGAGCTATGACTCCATCACTGCACTCCAGCCTGGGTGACAGAGTAGAACCCTGTCTCTAAAAAACAAAAATTTGAACCACCCCAGTGTTTAACTTTGCGATTCACAGTCTTTTGGATTTTGTAGGAGAGTAACACTTCAAAAAGAATTTGAGGAAACTGAGAGTTGCCAACTTTTTTTTTTTTTTTGAGATGGAGTTTCGCTCTTGTTGCCCAGGCTGGAGTACAATGGCACAATCTCGGCTCACCACAACCTCTGCCTCCTGGTTTCAAGCAATTCTCATGCCTCAGCCTCCCAAGTAGCTGGGATTACAGGCATGCACCACCATGCCTGGCTAATTTTGTATTTTTAGTAGAAACAGGGTTTCTCCATGTCAGTCAGGCTGATCTTGAACTCCTGACCTCAAGTGATCTGCCCGCCTTGGCCTCCCAAAGTGCTGGGATTACAGGCGCGAGCCACCGTGCCCGGCCACCAACTTTTAATTTTGATAATAAGGACATTTTTAAAAAGAACTAATGGCTATCTACTATCAGCATCATTTCACAGAATAAAGGACATTTTATCCCCCAAAATAGTAAGAAGAACATACTCCCTGAATAAAAGATAGCCCTTCCCATGAAAAAAGAGTGGGCAACTTTATATCAATATGTTCATTTTCTCACTTTTTTCTTCTTTTTTTATTTTCTATTTCAATATAGACAATGAAACTATCTTCGTATCTGGTTAACTGACCAGAGTACATTTAAGAATCACTGGACTACTTTATAAATTTACAGGGGTAAGGAAGTATAAGTCAAGTTTAATTTAACTACTAACAATTTTCTCCAGTTTTTGCAACCTAATGTGCGCATCTAACTGGAAAGAGGTTTTTTTTCTTATTCTTTTTTTTTTTTTTTTCGAGACAGAGTCTCACTCTGTCGCCCAAGCTGGAGTGCAGTGGTACGATCTCAGCTCACTGGAATCTCTGCCTCCTCGGTTCAAGTGATTCTCCTGCCTCAGCCTCCCAAGTAGCTGGGACTGCAGGCCCATGTCACCATGCCTGGCTAATTTTTGTATTCTTAGTAGAGATGAGGTTTCGCCATGTTGCCGAAGTTGGTCTCAAACTCCTGAGCTCAAAGTGATCCACCTTCCTCGGCCGCCTCAGCCTCCTAAAGTGCTGGGATTACAGGCGTGAGCCACTGTGCCCAGCCTCTTATTCTGTTTTCAGTACAGAAGGAAAACACACAGCTCAGAGGGCCAGTGGCAAAGGAATGTGGAACGGAGTGCCAAATTAAGAGTAGGACACTCAGATTTATTTTTATCCATCTCTGTAACCAACTAATGCGTGTAAGCCTTGAGCAAATCACTGAGTGGCCTTGTCTTAAAGTTGGGTTTTCTACAAAGCAGGAAGCCCTATGCAGACAGCTATATCCTCAGAGCCTGGTACAGTGCCTGATACGTAGCCAATGCTTAATAAGTAACTGTTAAATTAATGAATAGATTTAATCAAGGGAATTGTTTTATATCATCTTAGCCAGGCCTCAAATCCTACAACTTATTTAAATGGTAAATCACAAATCTCTGCCCTGAGTAATTTATTCATTTACCCTTGGTTCCCAAACAGTCAATATTTTTGTACTGTGCCTAAAGAATTGATGGAAGAAAACAAAAGAATTGATGAAAGAGTGAAACTTCTGAATTACTTGCTTTTCTTGTTACTGCATTTTTTCTTATTTATTTATTTATTTATTTATACATGAACAAGATTTTAGTGGTGATATCTGAGATTTTGGTGCACGCAACACCTGAGCAGTGTACTCTGTACCCAATATATAGTATTTTATCCCTCACCCCCCCACCCTTTCCCTCGAGTCACCAAAGCCATACTGGTTTTTTTTTTGTTTTTTTTTTTTTTTTTGAGACGGAGTCTCACTCTGTCGCCCAGGCTGGAATACAGTGGTGCAGTCTCCGCTCACTGCAAGCTCCGCCTCCCGGGTTCACGCCATTCTCCTGCCTCAGCCTCCCATCCCAAGTAGCTGGGACTACAGGTGCCCGCCACCACGCCTGGCTAATTTTTTGTATTTTTAGTAGAGACAGGGTTTCACTGTGTTAGCCAGGATGGCCTCGATCTCCTGACCTCGTGATCTGCCTGCCTCAGCCTCCCAAAGTGCTGGGATTACAGGCATGAGCCACCGCAACTGGCCTGCATTTTTTTAATTATAAAATTTTCAAACATATTTGTCATTGAAAGTTTGTATAGCTGGGCACAGTGGCCCATGCCTGTAATCCAAGCATTTTGGGAGGCCAAGGCAAGGCGGGTCACTTGAGGCCCGGAGCTCAAGACCGGGCTGGGCAACATAGCAAGACCTGATCTCTGCAAAAACTAAAACATTAGCTGAGCATTGTGGCCTGTGCCTATAATCCGAGCTACTTGGGAGGCTAAGGTCAGGAGTATGGCTTGAGCCCAGAAGATCAAGGCTGCAGTGAACTATGGTCACACGACTGCACTCCAGCCTGGGACACAGAGCAAGACCCCATATTAAAAACAAAAAAAAGGTTTGTATAATAAAAAGAGAAGAGGCCAGGCATGGTGGCTCATGCCTGTAATCCCAGCACTCTGGGAGGCCAAGGGTGGATCACCTGAGGTCAGGAGTTCAAGTCCAGCCTGGCCAACATGGGGAAACCCCATCTTTACTAAAAATACAAAAATCAGCTGGCTGTGGTGGCACACACCTGTAATCTCAGCTATTTGGGAGGCTGAGGCAGGAGAATCATTTGAACCCAGAGGCGGAGGTTGCAGTGAGCCGAGATCATGCCACTGCACTCCAGCCTGGGCAACAAGAACAAGACTCCATCTCAAAAAAAAAAAAAAAAAAAAAAAAGAGAAGTAGTTCTAGATACTAACACTGAATGATAATATTTTAGCATGTATTCCAGTTTTTTGCCTCAGTTAATCTCTCTCTTGTGGCTGAAGGTCAAACTAAATTTTTCAGCTAAGGAAACTAAAGTAGTAAAAAAGTAACTTACTAGAACTTACAAGAATGTCAAGTCTCCTCGGATGGTTTGCATGAATTATAATCATTCCACATCTGGAAATATTCCAATTTCTCTTTCTTTTTTGAGATGGAGTCTCGCTGTGTCGCCCAGGCTGGAGTGCAGTGGCGCAATCTCGGCTCACTGCAACCTCTGCCTCCCAGATTCAAGCAATTCTCCTGCCTCAGCCTCCTGAGTAGCTGGGATTACAGGCGTGTGCCACCACATTCGGCTAACTTTTTTGTATTTTTAGTAGAGACGGGGTTTTGCCATGTTGGCCAGGCTGATCTTGAACTCCTGACCTCAGGTGATCCGCCCGCCTCAGCCTCCCAAAGTGCTGGGATTACAAGCATGAGCCACTGCGCCTGGCCAATTTTTCACCATAATTGCAGACAGGGGCCCTGAATTTGCCTTTCCAGCTATAAGGTAACCAATGCAGACAGCATCAGGTCATTCAAGTTGGCAAGTTCATTATTTCCTCTTTAAATGTATTTTTTAAAAATGAGATAAAGTTGGCTGGGCGCGGTGGCTCACTCCTGTAATCCCAGCACTTTGGGAGGCCAAGGCGGGCGGATCACGAGGTCAGGAGATTGAGACCATCCTGGCTAACCTGGTGAACCCTGTCTCTACTAAAAATACAAAAAAATTAGCTGGGCGTGGTGGCGGGTGCCTATAGTCCCAGCTACTTGGGAGGCTGAGGCAGGAGAATGGTGTGAACCTGGGAGGCGGAGTTTGCAGTGAGCCAAGATCAGGCCATTGCATGCCAGACTGGGTGACAGAGCAAGACTCCGGCTTAAAAAAAAAATGAGATAAGGTCTCACTATATTATCCAGGCTGGTCTTGAACTCTTGAGCTCAAGCGAACTTCCCGCTTTGGCCTCCCAAAGTGGCAGGTTCATTATTGAACTTCAGGTTAAAGTTCATCTTTCAAGTTGCATCCCAAGGAAGGCCAAGGGGATCAGTCTGGTGAACCATTTCACCAGCTTGATACCTCTCTGATACCTACTGGTATCAGTAACGAGACTGCTTGTAAGAGGGCATAGCTCAGCTTCATACAGCCTTGTTTTTTTTTTTGAGACTGAGTCTTGCTCTGTTGCCCAGGCTGGAGCGCAGTGGCACGATCTCGGCTCACTGCAACCTCCACCTCCCGGGTTCAAGCAATTCTTTGCCTCAGCCTCCCAAATAGCTGGGATTACAGGCACCTACCGCCATACCCAGCTAATTTTTGTACTTTCAGTAGAGACAGGGTTTCAACATCTTGGCCAGGCTGGTCTTGAACTCCTGACCTCGTGATCCACCCACCTCAGCCTCCCAAAGTGCTGGGATTACAGACGTAAGCCACCACACCTGAGCCTTTTTTTTTTTTTTTTTTTTTTTTTTGAGACAGAGTCTTGCTCTGTCATTCAGGCTGGAATGCAGTGGTGCAATCTCAGATCAGCCTCCCAGACTCAAGCAATTCTTCTGCCTCAGCCTCCTGAGTAGCTGGGACTACAGGCGTGCACCACCATACCCGGCTAATTTTTGTGTTTTTAGTAGAGATGGGGTTTCACCATGCTGGCCAGGCTGGTCTTGAACTCCTGACCTCAAGTGATCCGCCCACCTTGGCCTCCCAAAGTGCTGGGATTACAGGAGTGAGCCACCGCACTCAGCCTACAACCTTGCCTATAAATTGCTTCAGGGTTGGGATTGGGGTTGGTTCATCTTTATATTCTCCAAAGTGTCTTGCACATAGTAGTAATAAATAATGTTAAGTAAAATAAAAGGTTAAGGATCTGTTATCTGTTTATCTAAGATCTATCTGTCTAAATTCAGAAATTAGACTGTAAACTTCATATGCTTACAGATTTCTTGTAAATGTCAAACACATCATAGACATTCATTAAATACATGAAGCCTGCATGAATATATTTCCTAACTACCGTAAAGTAGTACTTCCTGTTACCCAGTCTAAAACCACTTTTTCTACTCTGTGTGTGTTTGTTGAAGAGTGACTTTAAACACGTAGCATCTTAGCATTTGACCAATGGAGTGTTCTATTTTTATTACATGTACTACATTTGCTATTTTTTTCTGTGGTATATATGTACATACATAGTCTTGGAACTGTTCCCATTGTACCTTTTCTCTTTCCAAAATCAAGTATCATATTTTGAGGACCTCTTATCTGAGCTGCCCCTTCTGGTGTTTGCAGCCTATTCATCTGCTCCATGTGCCTCACTTCCATGGCCAATGTGACTTGGCATATCTGTTACCGAGACTGAGATCTGTTTTCTACCAATTCCAATGCCACACATGGAGTCATAACCTGTGGTAAACAGTCTGTAATAATTCCTAGATTTCGTTTCCTGAATTGCAACTGATGACATGAAATAACTCTAAGTTCAGCTTATTTGTAATTTGTAATATCTTTCTCTGTAGCAGAAAAATTAGTGTTCACCAAATAGTCCCTGTGCACCCCTGCATTTCATAGCCTTCCCCTCCATTAGGTTAGAACCATGTGGCTAGTTTCAGCCAATGGATGAGAAGCTGAAATGATATGTGTTACTTCTGGTTCAAAGAGTTAAGAACCAGAGTGAGTCATTCTCCATTCCTCTCTTCCCCTTCGGTAGTATCTCAGAAGCCATGTGTTCCAGATGATGAGCTACAAGTTAGCAGAGCTGCCATTAGCGTGGACCCCTAAGTAACTGCATGGAGCAGACTCCTCCCACTTGTTCTGATATGTAACAGGAGAAATACACCTTATTGTGTTAAGCCGAAGAGATGCTGAAGTTTTTCTGCTATAGCAGGTGGTATTGCTTAACCTAAATTAACAAACAGTAGTGTTCAGGGGATATGTTCCAAGATTCCCAGTGGATGCCTGAAACCACAGATAGTACTGAATCCTATATATACTATGGTTTTTTTTCTATATATACATATCTATGATAAAGTTTAATCTATAAATTAGGCACAGTAAAAGATTAGCAACAACAATTAATAATAAAATAGAGCCAGGGCAACAAAATTTATTGTAGCATCTCTACAAAAAATTTAAAAATTAGCTGTTCACATGCCTGTAATCCCAGCTACTTAGCAGGCTGAGTTGGGAGGACAGCTTGAGCCTGGAAGGTTGAGGCTGTGGTGAGCATGATCATGCCACTGCACTCCAGCCTGGGTGACAGAGTGAGACTCTATCTCAAAATAATTATTAATAATTTAAAAACAGAAAAAATATAATAATATACTGTACTAAAAGTTATGGGAATGTAGTCTCCCTCTCAAAATATCTTATTGTACCCTTCTTGTGATGAAGAAAGGATGGAGGGATGGTGTGAGATTTCATCATGCTACTTGTTTATTTCTGGAATTTTTCATTTAATATTTTTAGACCACATTGACTTCAGGTAACTGAAACTGCAGAAAGCAAAGCCATGGATGGCAGGGAGAACCACTGTGTTCCCTAAATGCAATACGACCCAAATATCTTCCTTTTTCATTTTTTTGAGATGCAGTCTCACTCTGTCACCCAGACTGGAGTGCAGTGGTGTGATCTCGACTCACTGCAACTCCACCTCCCAGGTTCCAGTGATTGTTCTGCCTCAGCCTCCCAAGTAGTTGGGATTACAGGCACCCTCCACCACACCTGGCTAATTTTTTGTATTTTTAGTAGAGACAGGGTTTCGCCAGTTTGGCCAGGCTGGTCTTGAACTCCTGACCTCAGGTGATCCGTTTGCCTCGGCTCCCAAAATGCTGGGATTACAGGGGTGAGCCACTGCACCCGACCCAAATATTTTTCTTAAAGCCATACCTTTCTGCCCTTCTGCCGTCTGCCATGTGAGGACGTAGTGCTCCTCCCCTGCAGAAGATGCAGCATTCAAGCCTTCATCTTTATTTTATTTTATTTTATTTTATTTTATTTTATTTTATTTTATTTTATTTTATTTTTGAGATGGAGTCTTGCTCTGTTGCCCAGGCTGGAGTGCAGTGGTGTGATCTTGGCTCATAGCAACCTCCACCTCCCAGATTGAAGTGATACTCCTGCCTCAGCTTCCCGAGTAGCTGGGATTACGGGCATGCACCACCATGCCCAGCTAATTGTTGTATTTTTAGTAGAGACAGGGTTTCACCATGTTGGTCAGGCTGATCTCGAACTCCTCACCTCAGGTGATCCGCTGCCCTCGGCCTGCCAAAGTGCTGGGATTACAGGCATGAGCCACCTCACCCGACCAAGGCTTCATCTTGGAAGCAGAGAGCAGTCCTCACCAGATGCCAGCACCTTGATCTTGGACTTCCCAGCCTCCAGAACTGTGAGAAATAAATTTCTGTTCTGTATAAATTACCCAGTCCTGGATATTTTCTTATAGCAACACAAAATGGACTAAGACAGAAATTGGCTTATTGGCTTCCAAATAATTAGCTTTCTCATAAGTGTAAGTAGAATTTTTTGGAAACAAGGATGTTGCTTGGGAGTACAGCTGTATCTGAAGAGAAAGAAATTCTGCCCAGTATCTGTTCAGTGGCCTCTTTGCAGCTTCCTCAGCCTAGTCTGGAGCTCTTAGTAACAGTTAATGACCTATGAGCTGATTTACAGGGTGGCTAGGGAAAGAACACTTTATTCCTGCCAATTAAAGGAGTTGGGGACTGATATTGGGGATAGTGTTGTGTAATTCTGTGGCTCCACTCAAAACCTCTGAGGAAGATAGTGTGGGAACTCAAGATGCTGAAGTGGACTGAGGGAGCATATTTGCTGAACATGTCTTTAGTGTTTGGTAGAACAATATTATTAATAATAGCTAACACTTTTGGAGCACTTACAACCTAAGTGAGTTCCCTGAATTGGCTCATGTAATCCTCATAACCATTCTCTTTAAATATTGCTATTATGCCCCATTTTACAGACAAGAAAACTGTGCTCTGAGGTGTTAAGCAGTTTCAGGGAGGTCAGAATTCCCAACTGAGCAGCTGATCATTGCACTCCACTTGCCCCTCAGTGAGGTCTGAATTCAGAGTCCAGGCCTGAAGTCACTGTTCTGTAAGGATGGCCCTTGGGGGCGGTTCAGGAGTCCAGGCCGGCACTGCCAGGACAGGCCTTTGGAACCCATGACCTCTCCCAGGCTGGAGAGGAAGCTGGCACCACCAAGGAGGCACAAAGATGGGGAAGCCAGGGAGAGCGAAGTGGCCTCGGGGACAGAAGGCAGGAGACCTGGCACTTAATGGATGAGATAGAGAGAAGGTGCTACTGGCAGCGACAGAAAAAGAACTGTCAGGGCCAGGACATGCAGAAGCCTGAGACCCCACCATCTCCAGCCTGCGAGGACACTGGAAGTACCAATTTTTGGACTGCAAAAGCCTCTCACTTAATTCATAGAAGCATTATTTTAGAGGGAGGTGGAATGGGCGACTGGGCACCTCAGGCGGCTGCTGGATGGGGGGTCCTCAGAGCTGCAAGCCTCCGCCATCCCTTGCCATCCCCTGCTGCCACCGGGCCTCCGATGCTCTGCGCCTTTGTCATTCCGCATCCCACGGTGCCAGCTAAGTCACTCAGCTGTCACAATGAGGCCTGGAGCTGCAGGATACAAAATAACTCTGGGGAGACCTCTCAGAGGCGAGGCGGGGGTGGGGGCGGGGTGGGAGGCGGTGGGGAGGGGAAGACTGGGCCCCAGGGGCGCGGAAAGGAGCACCAGCTGCCTCTTGCAAGTTGCTAAATTAGTTGGGCTGTTGTTTTTCCTTTAATTTTTGTGTGAATTCAAGAATAGGTCGCGGATGTCTTGGCAGCTTGTGAATGAGACCCTTCCTCAAAGAATTCACCTTGCTGAAGGGCTGCTGTCAGGCGCACAAAACTAAGCGAAGTAGGCTTTGCCCGCCGCCTCCTGCTCGCCCTCCCGGCAGGCGCGCTCGGCCTCCTTCCCCGCGCCTGCCTCCCGGACCCCGCGCTCCAAGCCGGCTACCCTGCCTCGCGGGCCATGCCCAGCCTGCCCGCTCCCGCCCGGCCTCACCCCGCCGGAGCAGCGACCTAAGCAGGAGGCAGGGGAGGCGGGCGGAGGGCTCTGGAAGTTGCCAGACTCGCTCCTGGCCCCGCGTCTCAGCGGCGAGCCCCGAAGCCACCCCAGGCGCGGACAAGGAGAGGGGCTTTCCGGTGACCGTGGCCCCAGGCATTTGTTACGCTTACAGAAGGCAATGCACGGATGGTGAGTATTAGCGTTGGTTTTTGTCTCAGTGGCACATCCAACTCCTTGCTGCCACCTTTCTCCATCTGAGTGCACCCAAGGCCCCTGGACTTGGGTCTCCAGGGTAAAGCCAAGGACCCGGAGCCTCAACAACGCGTCTGATGGCCTCGGCAGGAGCTTTTGCCCACGCAAGCGCACGTCTCTACTGGGATTTATTAAGAATCAACAGTTTACCTGGCGCGGTGGCCCATGCCTGTAATCCCAGCACTTTGGGAGGCCGAGGCAGGAGGATTGCTGGAGCTCAGGAGTTCGAGACCAGCCTGGCCAACATGGTGAAACCCCGTCTCTACTAAAAATACAAAAATTAGCTGGGTGTGGTGGTGCACACCTGCAGTCCCAGCTACTCAGGAGGCTGAGACACGATAACTGCTTGAACCTGGGAGGCGGAGGCTGCAGTGAGCAAGATCGCACCACTGCACTCCAGCCTGGGCGACAGAGCGAGACTGTCTCAAAAAAAAAGAAAAGAAAAGAAAAAGAATCGACATGTTACAGTTTTCAGAATGTTTTGCATATTTTAAAAATACGTAGTCCAACATGAACAGTTAATAAAAGTACAAACAGCGAATAAACATATGAAAAATGGTCAGATTCATTAGTTACCAAAGACATGATCATCAAAACTATGAGAGGCTATTTTTTTCCCTCCCAGTTGGCAAAATGAAAATATTGCCATTCTCCACACTGACCTGAGTGTGGAGAGTTTGGCAATCTCAGTGGGAGTGTGAGGAGCATAAACTGATACTAGGTTTCTGGAGAGTAATTTGACATTGTTTATGAAGAGCCCCCCCGCTTTTTTTTTTTTTTTTTTTTTTTTTTTTGAGACCGAGTTTTGCTCTTGTTACCCAGGGTGGAGTGCAGTGGCGCACACAATCTCGGCTCACTGCAACCTCCACCTCCTGGGTTCAAGTGATTCTCCTGCCTCAGCCTCCTGAGTAGCTGGGATTACAGGTGCGTGCCACTACGCCCAGCTAATTTTTTCGGTGTTTTCTTTTTTCTTTCTTTTTTTTTTTTTTTGAGACAGAGTCTCTCGCTCTGTTGCCCAGGCTGGAGTGCAGTGGTGCAATTTTGGCTCACCACAACCTCTGCCTCCCAGGTTCAAGCGATGCGATTCTGCTGCCTCAACCTCCCAAGTAGCTGGGACTACAGAGTCATGCCACCATGCTTGGCTAATTTTTGTATTTTAAGTAGAGACAGGGTTTCACTATGTTGGCCAGGCTGGTCTTGAACTCCTGACCTCATGATCCACCCACCTCGGCCTCCCAAAGTGCTGGGATTACAGGCGTGAGCCACTGTGCCCGCCCAATTTTTTTGTATTTTTAGTAGAGACGGGGTTTCATGATGTTGGCCAGGCTGCTGTCGAACTCTTGACCCCAGGTGGTCCACCCACCTCAGCCTCCCAAAGTGCAGGGATTGCAGGCGTGAGCCACCATGCTCAGCCACCAAGACCCTTAAAAAATACACCAAGTAGGCCCTGTGCGGTGGCTTATGCCAGTAATCCCAGCACTTTGGGAGGCCCAGGTAGCAGGATCACTTGAGCACAGGAGACAGAGGCTGCAGTGAGCCATGATCGCCACTGCACTCCAACCTGTGCAACAGAGCCAGACCCTCTCTCTCTCAAAAAAAGAAAGCCCCGAATAGATGAAGGGCCTCTAAAGCAGGGGTTTGGGAGCTGTAAACCAAAAATAATTTTTTTTTTTTTGAGACGGAGTTTCGCTCTTGTTGCCCAGGCTGGAGTGCAATGGCATGATCTCGGCTCACCATAACCTCCGCCTCCTAGATTCAAACAATTCTCCTGCCTCACCCTCCCAAGTGGCTTGGATTACAGGTGTGTGCCACCATGCCAGGCTAATTTTGTATTTTTAGTAGAGACGGGATTTCTCCATGTTGGTCAGGCTGGTCTGGAACTCCGACCTGAGGTGATCTGCCCGCCTCGGCCTCCCAAAGTGCTGGGATTACAGGTGTGAGCCACTGTGCCCAGCCTTTTTTTTTTTTTTTTTTTCTTTTAGACAGAGTTTCGCTCTGTCGCCTGGGCTGGAGTGCAATGGTGCTATCTCCGCTCACTGCAAACTCCACCTCCCGGATCTAAGCCATTCTCCTGCCTCAGCCTCTCCAGTAGCTGGAATCACAGGCATCTGCTACCACGCCCGACTAATTTTTGTATTTTTAGTAGGGATGGGGTGTCATCATATTGGCCAGGGTGGTCTCGAACTCCCAACCTCAGGTGATCTGCCCACCTCGGCCTCCCAAAGTGCTGGGATTACAGGTGTGAGCCACTGCACCCGGCCTGATCCCAGGACTTCAGAAAAACTCAACCAATTGTCAACCAGAAAATGTTTAAATTTACCTACAGCCTGGAAGTACCCCATCTACCCCCACCCCTCGCTTTGAATTGTCTGGCCTTTCTGGACCAAACCAGTATATTTCTTAAATGTATTTGATTGATGTTTCATGCCTCCCTAAAATGTATTAAACCAAACTGCGCCCCGATCACCTTGGGCACATGTTCTCAGGACCTCCTGAGGGCTGTGTCACGGACCATGGTCACTCATATTTGGCTCAGAATAAATCCAAATATTTTAAGGAATTTGACCCATTTCATCAACAGAGCCAAGCAGATCCAGGTCTGCTCTCACCACTCCAGCTGTGTGCCCTGGAACAAGTCACTTCACCTCCTTTAAACCCCTTTCCTCAACTACAAAACGGAGGTGCTCCTCCCTACCTCACAGGACTGTTGAGAAGATGAAGAAACAAAACAAAACAAAACAGCCCACTTAACAGATGGTGATGGTTGCTGCAATGGTTGCTATTGTAAATTCATTTTGCTATCTCCTTGGCCCAGTAATCTGGACTGTCCCAAGTAAACAGCTTTAGGTGTAGACAGAAATTCATGCACAAAAGATGTCTATCACAGCATTACAATATAATCACAAAAACACGAAAACAACATACCCAGCAACAGGAGAAAGTTAAGAAAATTATGGCTTAACCATGGGATTTTACATATACATTCAATGGATAGCATATGATATACACTGCTTTGTAGCTTGCTTTTTTCACTTAACAGTGTGACATGTTGCAAGTTTTTACTGTGTCTGTAGGATAAGTTCCTAGCATTGGAGTTGTTGGGTCATAAGATGTGCATTTTAGATCTTGACAGCTGTAGCCAACTTGCCCTGCATGGAGGCTGGCCCAATGCACACTTCCCTCAGATATAGGGCAGAGCCTGTTTCCCCAGCCTTCCGCAAACATTATCAACATTTTGCTCTTGGCCAATGTGAAAGTAGTATCCTGTTGAAATTTCAATTTGCATTTTTCTTTCTTTTTTTTTTTTTTTGAGATAGACTTTCACTATCCTCGCCCAGGCTGAAGTGCAATGGCACGATTTTGGCTCACTGCAACCTCCGCCTCCCAGGTTCAAGTGATTCTCCTGCCTCAGCCTCCCGAGTAGCTGGGATTACAGGCACCTGCCACCATGCCCTGCTAATTTTTGTATTTTTAGTAGAGATGGGGTTTCGCCATGTTGGCCGGGCTGGTCTCAAACTCCTGACCTCAGATGATCTGCCTCCCTTGGCCTCCCAAAGTGCTGGGATTACAGGTGTGAGCCACCACGCCTGGCCGAGTCTAATTTTTAATTGACTTAGCCCTTCAGCTAGCACATATGCAATTTTTTTTTCCCACTTGAGCACTTGTCTTTTGACTTTTTGGTCAATTTTTGCTAAGGTTTTTTGTTTTTTTTTTCTGAGACAGAGTCTTACTGTTTCACCCAGGCTGGAGCACAGGGGCGCAATCTCGGCTCACTGCAACCTCTGCCTCCTGGTTCAAGCAATTCTCCTGCCTCAGACTTCCGAGGGATTACAGGCATGCGCCATCATGCCCAGCTAATTTTTGTATTTTTTAGTAGAGACGGGGTTTCACCATGTTGGCCAGGCTGGTCTTGAACTCCTGACCTGAGGTGATCTGCCCACCTCGGCCTCCCAAAGTGCTGGGATTACAGGCATGAGCCACCATGCCCGGCCTCCAAGGTTTTTTTAATCAAGAAAAAAATACATATTTTTTCTTTTTTATTTTATTTTTTTATTTATTTAAGTGGAGATGAAGTCTTGCTATGTTGCCCAGGCTGGTCTGGAACTCCTGGGCTCAAGCAATACTCCCACCTCAGCCTCCCAAAGTGCTGGAATTACGGGCATGAGCCACCAGACATGGCCAAGAAAAAAATTTTAACTCAAAATACTATTGTCTAGGGCCTAGGTAATTTCTCGTTCTGTCCTTAGACTCTATTGTGGTAATCCATTGACCTTTCTTGCTCTCTACCTCCTTGAGGGCAGGAACCTTGACAACCTAGTTTACCATTTGAACTCCAGCAGACACCCAACAGATACTTCGTGACTGCACTTCCATTTTGTAAGTGAGTGCCAAGAACTTCTGGTCTCCTAGGCAAATCTGCATAGTACACAAGGAGAAAACATTCTTGTATTCTATCAAGTTCTGCCACGAAACAGTCGTGTTCAACTGGTGACAAAATGTAGTGAATTTTCAAAGTATTACCCTAGCCTTATATAATAGGTTTCAAGGGGACATGAGTGAGTGTGGACAATTTTACCCCCAACCTTGGCTGGGCCCAACCCTACTTCCTAGCCCCCATATTCAACACACTCTCCTGGCCCGCCACACCTCCAACCCCTGAGACTCACTGGGCTCCAGCTCTCCACTGGTGGGCTGACAGGCACGTCCCCACCCATAGGGCCTGGGCAGCTTCAAAAGACCCTCAACTTATCCTCTCAGGAGTCAAGAAAAGTCCCTTTCCAACAGGAAAGAACAGGGTCACCCAGATTGTTATGCAAATGTTAACTCATCTGTGGAAACGTTAGAGTATTCCTGGCCTCAACAGCAAGAAACAAACAAACCAAAAAAAAAAAAAAGAAAAGAAAAGGTAAAGCAAGAAGGTACAGAATAACTTCCAGCTTCTAACAGAGGAGGGTCAGACCAGGCATTGCTGACACGGTCTCATATGTTCTCATATGTTGCTTGATGTTTAGGGGCAAATTTGGGACAAAGTACAAGGTGAACCCTTGTCCCCCACACTGATTTCGTTTTGGAGCCCAGCCATTGGTATCATCTTTTTTTTTTTTTTTTTTTTTTTTTGAGACGGAATTTCACTCCTGTTGCCCAGGCTGGAGTGCAATGGCAATCTCGGTTCACTGCAACCTCCACCTCCCGGGTTCAAGCGATTCTGTCTCAGCCTCCCAAGTAGCTGGGACTACAGGCGTGCGCCACCACGCCTGGCTAATTTTGTATTTTTAGTAGAAACAAGGTTTCTCCAAGTTGGTCAGGCTGGTCTTGAACTCCCGACCTCAGGTGATCCACCTGCCTCAGCCTCCCAAAGTGCTGGGATTATAGGCGGGAGCCACCACACCTGGCCCAGTATCATCTTCTACAGAGGCCCTTTCCAGGAGTGAGGGACATCAGTGTGGCACTGGAGGGACATCAGTGTGGCTGTGCTCTGGCATACAGTACCATTCTATTGGCAGGGTTAGTCCTCGATGGAGCCCCTTTCAGCAATCACCCCTACCCTTCCTTTACATATCTTAACAGGCTTTCTTAATTTTAAATTTTTATTTTGAAAAGCATGTCAAATTTACAGAAAAGTTGCAAAAACACCTTAAGGAACTCCCATACACGCCTCACCTATGTTCACCAATTCATATTTTTGCTGCATTTACTTCAGCATTCTGTATACAATATATATCGCTATTATTTTTTTTTTTATCAACCTGCTTACCAAATTATTTTTTATTTTTCACTTTTTTTTCGAAATAAAATCTCACTCTTGTTGCCCAGGCTGGAATGCAATGGCGCGATCTCGGCTCACTGCAACCTCCACCTCCTGGGTTCAAGCGATTCTCCTGCCTCAGCCTCCTGAGTAGCTGGGTTTACAGGTACCCGCCACCATGTTCGGGTAGTTTTGGGGTTTTTTTTTTTTTTTTTTTTTGAGACAGTCTTGCACTGTCCCAGGCTGGAGGGCAGTGGCAGGATCTCGGCTCACTGCAACCTCTACCTCCCAGGTTCAAGCTATTCTCCTACTTCAGCCTCCTGAGTAGCTGGGATTACAGGCGCGTGCCACCACGCCTGGCTAATTTTTGTATTTTTAGTAGAGATGGGGTTTCACCATGTTGGCTAGGCTGGTCTCAAACTCCTGATCTCAGGTGTTCCGCCCACCTCAGCCTCCCAAAGTGTTGGGATTACAGGCGTGAACCACTGTGCCCAGCCTAAAATTATAGTTTAAATGAACATTTGAGAGCAAATCATAGATTTTTACCCTTAAATATTTCCATCTTCACTGCTAACATGAAGGACATCCTCTTAAATAATCACTGTACAATTATCAAATGCAGAAAATTTAACATTGTTAAATTGCTGTTATCTAAGCTGAAATTCATATTCAAATTTCACTAATTGTCCAATTAAAGGCCTTTATAGCTTTCTCTTTTCCAGACCAGGAGCCAGTCCAGGATCACATGTTGCATTTATTTGTCCTGTTTGCTTAATTTCCTTCTTAATCTGGAAGAGTTCCTCAGCCTTTCCTAGTCTTCATGAACTTGATGTTTTTAAAGGTTTCAGGCAAGTCATTTTGTAGAATTCCCTTTAGTTTGGGTTTGTCTGATGTTTCCTTATGATTTGATTTAGGTTACGCTTTTTTTTTTTTTTTTTTTTTTGAGACAGAGTCTTCCTCTATCACCCAGCACCCAGGCTGGAGTGTAGTGGCGTGGTCTCTGCTCACTGCACTCTCTGACTCCTGGATTCAAGTGATTCTCGTGCCTCAGCCTCCCAAGTAGCTGGGATTACAGGCATACACCACAATGCCTGGCTAATTTTTGTATTTTTAGTAGAGATGGGGTTTTGCCATGTTGGCCAGGGTGGTCTCAAACTCCTAGCCTCAAGTGATCCACCTGTCTCATCTTCCCAAAGTGCTAGGATTACAAGCATGAGCCACACAATACCTGGTCATGCTTTTGTTTTTTTTCTGGAGATGGAGTCTCACCCTGTTGCCCAGGCTGGAGTGCAGTGGTGCAATTTTGGCTCACTACAGTACTCTGCTTCCCAGGTTCAAGCAATTCTCGTGCTTTAGCCTCCTGAGTAGCTGGGATTACATGTGCACGCCACCCTGCCTAGCTAATTTTGCGTTTTAGTAGAGACAGGGTTTCACCATGTTAGCCAGGCTGGTCTCTAACTCCTGACCTCATGTGATCTGCCTGCCTCGGCCTCCCAAAGTACTGAGATTACAGGCGTGAGCCACAGCGCCCGGCTGCATTTTTGATAAAATACTTTTTTTTTTGAGACAGGATCTCCCTCTGTTGCGAAGGCTGGAATGCAGTGGTACAATTATGGCTCATTGCAGCCTCAACCTCCCAGGTTCAGGTGATCCTCCCACCTCAGCCTCCTGAGTAGCTGGGACTACAGACATGCGCCACTATGCCCAGCAAATTTTTTGAAGGTGAAACCCTGTATCTACAAAAAAAATACCAAAACTAGGCGGGCGTGGTGTTGCACACCTGTAGTCCCAGCTACTCAGGAGGCTGAGGTGGGAAGATCTCCTGAGCCTGGGAGGCATATGTTGCAGTGAGCCAAGATCACGCCACCGCACTCCAGCCTGGGCAATAGAGTGATACACTGTCTCTAAGAATAAGAAATTAAATAAGTTGTTTTCCCCCCAAACCAAGTCTCTTTTTGTTTTCTGTGGGATTCTATGTCTAGCAACAAATCTGGCATGGCTTAAGAAGCATTGGGGAAACATTGATTTCTGAATTGATTGACTGAATGAATGAATACAGCATCCAAACACCCTGAATTTTCTGAATTGAGGTCTTATTCAGGGAATAGTTTAGGTTAATATTAATCACTGTACATACTGAGAAGTATAGGAATTCAGGTATTACTTTTTTTTTTTTTTTTGAGACGGAGTCTCGCCCTGTCGCCCAGGATGGAGAGCAGTGGTGCAATCTTGACTCACTGCAACCTCCTCCTTCTGGGTTCAAGCGATTCTCCTGCCTCAGCCTCCTGAGTAGCTGGGATTACAGGCGTGCCACCACGCCTGGCTAATTTTTGTATTTTTAGTAGAGACGGGGTTTCACCATGTTGGTCAGGCTGGTCTCGAACTCCTGACCTCGTGATCCACCCGCCTCAGCTTCCCAAAGTGCTGGGATTACAGGCGTGAGCCACCGCGCCAGGCCACATTATTTATTTATTTATTTATTTATTTATTCATTCATTTTTTGAGACGGAGTTTCGCTTTTGTTGCCCAGGCCAGAGTGCAATGGTGCAATCTCGGCTCACCGCAACTTCCACCTCCCTGGTTCACGTGATTCTCCTGTCTCAGCCTCCTGAGTAAACTGGGATTACAGGCATGTGCCACCACACCTGGCTAAATTTTGTATTTTTAGTAGAGAAGGGGTTTCTCCATGTTGGTCAGGCTGGTCTCGAACTCCAGACCTCAGGTGATCCACCCACCTCTGCCTCCCTGGGAGGCCTGGCCATTATTTATTTATTTTTTTGAGGCAGAGTCTTGCTCTGTCAGCCGGGCTGGAGAGCACAGTGGCGTGATCTCGGCTCACTGCAACCTCTGCTTATTGCAACTTCTGCCACCCGGGTTCAAGTGATTCTCCTACCTCAGCCTCCCAAGTACCTGGGATTACAGGCGCCCGCCACCACGCCTGGCTAATTTTTGTATTTTTAGTAGAGACGGGATTTCACTATGTTGGCCAGGCTGGTCTCAAACTCCTGACCTTAAGTGATCTGCCCACCTTGGCCTCCCAAAATGCTGGGATTACAGGTGTGAACCACTGCGCCCGGCCCAGGTATTACATTTTTACAAAAAAAAAAAATTTTTTTTTTTTGAGGCAGGGTTTCGCTTTGTCACTCAGGCTGGAGTGCTAGAGTGCAATGGCATGATCATAGCTCACAGCAGCCTCAACATCCCTGCCTCAAGTGATCCTCCCACCTCAGCCTCCCAAGTATGTGAGACCACAGGCATGTGCCACTACACCCAGCTAATTTTTATTCTTTTTTTCAATGTTTTCTTTTTTAAAAAAAAATATATATATATTTATATATTTTTAAATTGAGACAGGACCTGGCCCTGTTGCCCAGGCTCATCTTGAACTCCTGGCCTCAAGCGATTCTCCTGCATCTGCCTCTAAAAGTGCTAGGATTACGGCATGAACCACCACACCCAGCCTATATATTTATTTACTTATTTAGTAGAAACGTAGTCTCCCTATGTTGTGCAGGCTGGCAAAATTGCTTCTAATAATATTTCTCCATCTTCCAGTGAGCCTCAAGCCCACCATCTTTGCCTGGAACCCCATTTGAGCACTGGTGCATTTGATTTGAAGGTGGAAAGTGGAAGCTTGGCTTTCCTGGGGAAGGACTTCTCCCAGAAATGAAGGAAAAGGCTGGCTCTGTGCTGTCAAAATAGATTAGACATGGTTATTAATATTGTGAAAATATTAATTACTTTATGGGTTAATATATGCACAAGCTGGGCATGGTGGCTTATACCTTTAACCCCAGCACTTGGGGAGGCCGACGTGGGCGGATCACGAGGTCAGGAGTTTGACACCAGCCTGGCCAACATAGTGAAACCTTGTCTCTAGTAAAAATACAAAAATTAGCCGGGTGTGGTGGCATGCACCTGTAGTCCCAGCTACTTGAGAGGCTGAGGTGGGAGAATTGCTTGAACTTGGGAGGCGGAGGTTGCAGTGAGCCAAGACCACGCCATTGCTCTCTAGCCTGGGTGACAGAGTGAGACTCCATCTCAAAAAAAAAAAAAAAATGCACAGCACATTTCTTTCACTGAAAGAACCAACTGAGGCAGAAGGATTGCTTGAGGCTAGGAGTTTGAGACCAGCCAGGTCTCAAAAAAAAAAAAAAAAAAAAAGAGAATATGAGGTTATGGGAAGCACTCACGTTCTTTGTTCAAAACATTTGCGATGTTTGAAAGTTTTATCGGAAACATTATTTCAAAATCTGGCTGGGTGTGGTGGCTCACACCTGTAATCCCAGCACCTTGGGAGGCTGAGGTGGGCAGATCACCTGAGGTGAGGAGTTCAAGACCAGCCTGGCCAAGATGGTGAAACCCTGTCTCTACTAAAACTACAAAAATTAGCTGGGCATGGTGGTGCATGCCTGTAAACCCAGCTACTGGAGAGGCTGAGGCAGGAGAATTGCTTGAACCCGGAGGCGGAGGTTGCAGTGAGCCGAGATCACGCCACTGCACTCCAGCCTGAGTGACAGAGTGAGACTCCGTTTAAAAAAAAAAAAAAAAAGAAACATTACTTAAAAATCAGAAAAAGGAGGCCAGGTCCAGTGGCTCACACCTGTAATCTCAGCACTTTAGGATGCTGAGGCGGGCGGATCACCTGAGGTCGGGAGTTCGAGACCAGCCTGACCAACATGGAGAAACTTCATCTCTACTAAAAATACAAAATTAGACGGCATAATGGTGCATGCCTGTGATCCCAGCTACTTGGGTGGCTGAGGCAGGAGAATCGCTTGAACCTGGGAGGCAGAGGTTGGGGTGAGCCAAGATTGCGCCATTGCACTCCTGCCTGCGCAACAAGAGCGAAACTCTGTCTCAAGAAAAAAAAAAAAAGCAGCAAAAGGGGCTGGACATGGTGGCTCACACCTGTAATCCCAACACTTAAGAAGGCCAAGGCAGTTGGATCACTTGAGGCCAGGAATTTGAGACAAGCCTGCGCAACATGGCAAGACCTCGTTGTTACAAACAATGTAAAAATTAGTCAAGTGTGATGGCATGCACCTGTAGTTTCAGCTACTTAGGAGGTGGAGGCAGGAGGATTGCTTGAGCCCAGGAGTTGGAGGCTGCAATGAGCTATGATCACACAACTGCACTCCACCCTGTCTCAAAAAAAAAAAAAATTGTTTGACATGGTGGCTCACATCTGTAATCTCAGCACTTTGGGAGGCAAAGGGAGGAGGATCACTTGAGACCAGGATCATTTGAAACCAGCCTGGGTAACATGGTGAGACCGCTTCTTTACAAAAAAAAATTTTTTTTTAATTAGTCAGGCATGGTGGTGCATGCTGGTAATCCCAGCTACTCAGGAAGCTGAGGTGGGAGGATCACTTGAGTTCAGAAGTTTGAGGCTTCAGTGAGCCAAGATCATGCCACTGCACTCCAGCCAGGGTGACAGAGCAAGACCTTGTCTCTAAAATAATAATAATAATATTTATTGATACCTCATATTTTACACAGTTATGGGGTACATGTGATATTTTGTCACATGCATGGAATGGGTAAAAATCAAGTCAGGGTATTAGGGGTGTCCATCAACTTGAGTATTTATCGTTTCTATATGTTGGGAGCATTTCAAGTCCTTGCTTCTAGCCATTTTGAAATATATAATACATTGTTGCTAACTAGTCATCTCACTTTACTGTCAAATACTAGAACTTACACCTTCTAACCAACTGTATGTTTGTACCCATTGACCAATCTTTCTTCATCCCTTCCTCGCACCCACACATCCTTTGCAGCCTCTAGTATCTATTATTCTACTCTCTGCCTCCATGATGTTAACTTTTTTTTAGCTCCCACATATGAGTGAAAACATGTGATATTTGTCTTTCTGTGCCTGACCTATTTCACTTAACATAATGACCTCCAGTTCCACCCATGTTGCTGCAAATGATGTGATTTCATTCATTCCTTTTTATGGCTGAATACTATTCCGTTGTGTATATATGTCATATTTTCTTTATCTATTAGTCCATTGATGGACACTTAGGTTGATTCCATATCTTTGCTATTGTGAATATTGCTACAACAAACATGGGGGTGCAGATATCCCTTTGATGTACTGATTTCTTTTCCTTTGGATAAATAACAAGTAGTAGAATTACTGGATTGTATGGTAGTTCTATTAATATTTTTAGTTTTTCAGGAAATCTCCATACTATTTTTCTTTTTTTCTTTTTTTTTTGAGATGGAGTTTTGCTCTTGTTGCTCAGGCTGGAGTACAGTGGTGTGATCTCGGCTCACTGCAACCTCTCCCTCCCGGGTTCAAGCAATTCTCCTGCCTCAGCCTCCTGAGTAGCTGGGATTACAGGCACACACCACCATGCCCAGCTAATTTTTTTTTTTTTAGATGGAGTTTCGCTCTTGTTGCCCAGGCCGGAGTGCAATGGCGTGATCTCGGCTCACCGCAACCTCTGCCTCCCGGGTTCAAGCGATTCTCCTGCCTCAGCCTCCCGAATAGCTGGGATTACAGGCATACGCCACCATACCCGGCTCATTTTGTATTTTTAGTAGAGACGGGGTTTCTCCATGTTGGTCAGGCTGGTCTCAAACTCTTGACCTCAGGTGATCCACCCACCTCGGCCTCCCAAAGTGCTGGGATTACAGGCATGAGCCATCACACCCAGCAGCCCGACTAATTTTTTGTATTTTTAGTAGAGATGGGGTTTCACCTTGTTGGCCAGGCTGGTTTCGAACTCCTGGCCTCAAGCAATCCACCCATCTCATCCTCCCAAAGTGCTGGGATTACAGGTGTGAGCCATCATGCCCAGCCATACTGTTTTTCATAGTGTCTATGCTAATTTACATTCTTACCAACAGTGTGGAAGTATTCCCTTTACCCTGCATCCTCACCAACATCTGTTGTTTTTTGTCTTTTTAATAATAGCCATTCTGGCCAGGTATGGTGGGTCACGCCTGTAATCCCAGCACTTTGGGAGGCCAAGGCGGGCAGATCAGCTGAGGTCAGGAACTCAAGACCAGCCTAGCCAACATGGTGAAACCCTGTCTCTACTGAAATTACAAAAATTAGCTGGGCATGGTGGCGCACGCCTGTAGTCCCATACTCGAGGGACTGAGGCAGGAGAATTGCTTGAACATGGGAGGCGGGGGTTGCAGTGAGCCAAGATTGCACCACTGATCTCCAGACTGGGTGACAGAACAAGACTGTGCCTCAAAAAAAAATAAAAATAATAATAGCCATTCTAACTGGCATACTCCCAATTTGGCCTCCCAAAGTGCCAGGATGACAGGTTTATGCCACCATGCCTGGCCCTTAACCATTTTTAAGAGTACAGTTCTGCGGCATTAAGTACATTCACATCGTGCTACTGTTACTGCCATCCATCCATAGAACTCTTTTCATCTTGCAAGACAGAAACTCTATACCAATTAAACAAGAACTCCCCCTCCAGCCCTGCCCACTGTTTCTGGCAGCCAGTATTCTACTTTCTGTCTCTATGAATTTGACTACTCTAGGTGCCTCACGTAAGTGGAATCGTACAGTGTTTATCTTTGTGACTGGCTTATTTCACTTGGCACAGCGTCCTCAACATTCATCTATGTTATACCGTGTGTCAGAATTTCCTTCCTTTTAAGGATGAGTCATTTCCATTGTGTGAATATACCATGTTTTCTTTATCTATTCATCCACCAATGGACACTTGGGTTGTTTCCACTTTTGACTATTATGAATAATGCTGCTGTACACATAGGAATACAAGTATATCCTCCAATCCCTGCTTTCAAGTGTTTTTGGGTATATACACAGAAGTAGAATTGCTGGGTCATGTGCTAATTCTATTTTTAATTTTTTGAGGAACTGCCATACTGTCTTCCAAGAGGCTATACCATTTTATATTCCCACCAGCAGTGCACAAGTTTTCAGTTTCTTCACATCCTTGCCAACACTTGTTATTTTCTGTTTTGTTTTTATTATTATTATTATTATTATTATTTGAGATAGAGTCTCACTCTGTTGCCCAAGCTGAAGTGCAGTGTCACGATCTCGGCTCACTGCAACCTCCGCCCCCCGGGTTCAAGCGATTCTCCTGCCTCAGCCTCCCGAGTAGCTGGGATTACAGGCGCCTGCCACCACGCCTGGCTAATTTTTGTATTTTTAGTAGAGATGGGGTTTCACCATCTTGGCCAGGCTGGTCTTGAATTCCTGACCTCATGATCCACCTGCCTCGGCCTCCCAAAGTGCTGGGATTACAGGCATGAGCCACTGCGCCCGGCCTATTTTTATTTTTATTTATTTATTTATTTATTTATTTTTTGAGACAGAGTCTCTCTCTCTCTGTCACCCAGGCTGGAGTGCAGTGGCGTAATCTCGGTTCACTGCAACCTCCGCCTCCCAGGTTCAAGTGATTTTCCTGCCTCAGCCTCCTGTGTAGCTGGGACTATAGGCACCCGCCACCACACCCGGCTAATTTTTGTGTTTTTAATAGAGATGGGGTTTCACCATATTGGCCAGGCTGGTCTCGAACTACTGGCCTTGTGATCCGCCTGCCTCGGCCTCCCAAAGTGCTGGGATTACAGTCATGAGCCACCACGCCCAGCCCTGTTTTTATTTTTTGATAGTAACCATCCAAATGGGGATGCCGTGGTAGGATGGTTTTAAAATACAAAAATTACAACTAATATTGCTCAGTTTGAATTGATTTTCAATTCCAAAGGCTTCCCTCATCTGAAACAGAAAGCATCCAGAAGAACCAGGGTTTGAATTACCTTCTTCCCAGGGGTCTTGTTCCACCATCCTGAATGTAACACACCCAGAGGGTTCAATTCACTCAGTCCAGGGCTGCTCCTCATCTCAGTTCCTCATCTGCAAAATGATAATAATAATAGTATCTCCCTCATAGAGTTGTTATGAAGATTAAATGAGTTAATTATTATAAAGCACTTACAGCAGGGCCTGATGTACTGCAAGCCCTATATAAACACCTGTTAAATAAAATGATCGAATATATTTTTCCAGTTTTGTAGGTTCTTTGGAGACACTGATGGAATGTGAGAATTGTGTCCTGCAATGGAAAGAACATGAATTTACCAAATCTTTACAGAATGTCCGATATTGTTCTAGGCATTGGGAAGCAACATGGGAGATGCTCCAGGAATCTTTCAGATTCTCCAGGATTAAAAACACAACTGCTCAGCTTCCACAGTCTCTTGTAGTGATACTGCATTCTGGCACTGTCCTGGGTGTTTATATGCCACTCCAATCCTTACAACAACCTTGTAACGCAAAGACTATTGTTTGTTCGTTTGTTTGTTTTGAGAAAGGGTCTCACTCTGTCACCCAGGCTGGACTGCAGTGGCGCAGTCATGGCTTATTGCAGTCTTGACCTCCTGGGTTCAAGTGATCCTCCCACTTCACCCTCTGCGGTAGCTGGGACTACAGATGTGTATCACCACACTTTGCTAATTTTTAAAAGTTTTTTGTAGAGATAGCGTCTCACTATGTTGCCCAGGCTGGTCTCAAACCCTTGGGCTCAAGCAATCCTCCAGCCTCAGACTCCCAAAGTGCTAGGTTTATAGATGTGAGCCACTGTGCCCAGCCAGCAAATTAATGAATTTACAGATGATGGCATTGAGGCTGTGAGGGGTTATGGGACTTGCCCAAGTTGGGTGCATGGTGGGAGATGGTCTAGAAGGGAGGCAGGGCAGGCTCAACCCTGAGCTTGGGACCTCAGGAGTTAAGGAAGGTCCACTGTTTACTGAGTGTCTGACAAATGCAAGGCGGGCTAAACTTTTATATGTGAGAGTCATCCCACTCATCATGGGACTCCCCATCTCCCAGGAGGGACTTTGGCCATCCACTTTTACCAAAGAGGAACCAAGGCAGAGCAAGGCTCAATCACCAGCCAACAAAGAGTAGGTTCATTTCCAAGTTGCTGGACACCTGAGAAGATGGCTTCAGCACTATCAATAATTTAAAAGGAAACCTCTTTCATCAAAATCACCTGGGTTGCAAATAAAAATGCAGGTTCTTGGGCCCTGCCACAGGTCCATTAAATAAAAATCTGCCTAAGATTTGGACATTTCAATAAAGCTTTCCTTGCAACCTGTAAATAAGGAGAACAGGACTATCTACAGAGTTAAGCCATGAAGTCAACACCAAAGAATCCTGGTGAGATATGCAAAGTCACCTCTAAAGGG